>NC_000006.12:18696363-18847878 GCF_000001405.40 Homo sapiens | reverse complement strand
AAGAAAGAAGAAAGAAAGAAAGAAAGAAAAAGGAGGAAAGGAGGAAAGGAAGAAAGGAAGAAAGAAAAGAGAGAAAGAGAAAGAGAGAAAGAAAGAAAGAAAGAAAGAAAGAAAGAAAGAAAGAAAGAAAGAAAGAAAGAAAGAAAGAAAGCACCTCTGAATGTTCCAGGCTTGTAGAAAGGATTACTAAATTAGATAGCATAGGTAATGCGTTTACAGGCTCTCAGTAAATGCCCTTCCCTTGGAGAGAAGGTTCGCACTGACATTCAGAGCTGTAAATTACCCAAGACTAAACTGTGCGCAACAATTCTTACTTGGAGCTCTGAGAGAAGAGTCATTTTAAACCATTTTCTCTTGAACATATTTATTTTGGACCACTTTGCTCATCTATTCTCCTCTTCTGCCTACCATCTATCTCATAACAATTAAAGTTTTCTGTCTGTTTTTTTTTTTGTCTCCCATCCCTATTCCTATAACAGATAAATTTGTTTTTCACTTTTGAAAAAAATCTGTAGTAACATTTTATTCTGTAAGTTTTTTCACATTTGCATTATGTATATATAATGAAAAGATCAAAATGCACAAATTCATCTCGCTGGATGATTTTACTAATGGTAATATCTGAATCATTATAATATTAGGATTGTAGCATTATTAGTAGTGTTGTCATTCAAAAATAGAAGCATGTTATTAAAATGCACCTGCTCTTTCAAAAATATCATTATCTATTTAAAGGCTGAAACCATATTTCCCATCTCAATGAATCTGAGATAAAGCACATTCTTTCTAAAAATTGGCATTATTCACATTTTGCAGTTTAAAAGGTGACTCTGGCAAGGGCCTTTTAGGGTATTTTCAGGTTTGCTAACAAATGTGAATCATAGGTGCTCTGTTAATATTCTTTGCAAAGTCCTTGAATAAGAAAGAAGACCCTCCCTCTAAGGCAGTGGTCCTAAATGGGGGTATGGAATAATTTTGCTCCCCTCCCAGAGGATATTTGGCAATATCTAGAGATATTGTTAGTTGTCACAATTGGGCTAGGTTTTCTACTGGCACCTAATAGGTGGAGGAGAGGGATGCTCCAAACCACCCTAGAGGGCACAGGACGCTCCCCACAACAATTATCCCATGCAAATTTCAATAGTGTTGAGATTGAGAAACCTTGCTCTAAGAAACCTTAGCCTACAGGGATTCATGAAATTCTCTGGCAATGCAGAGTCAAAATACTCCAGTTTGAGGGAACATGTAACAAAAAGGAAAAATATATAGCTAGATGCTAAAATTCTACCCACTGAGTTCCACCCACTAGGAAGAACCGTGCAAAAATCAGCATATGTAAAGTTGCAACCACAGGACATTTGCACATGTTGATACACTAGCACGTCATGTCTAAGCAAAATCCAGGTGTCTACAGGGGAACACAGAAGTCATATTCTCAGAACTTTACAATGGTCTGTTGAGGGACCTACCCTGCTCTCTAAGATTATTCTGGAAGCAATTCACTAGCCTTCTGAGATAAGCCTACGGACATAATCTCAGGACACCACTGTTGGTAAAATGGGGTCAGTAAAAACCCCAATTAATGGAAACTTTACAGTTACATGCAAAATATAGGAGAAGCTTTTCTCCTACAAATATAGATGTTTAGCCTGTACTTCACTTCTTGTATCTAAGGCCATAAAAGAACAGTTTTCATTTATACAGAAACTGACTGAAGAATTATCAGGTAGTATTCTGTGATGCACTCCAGGTATTTGGCTGTTGCCCAACTATTTAACAGACTGTAGCATTCAGTGCAGCAGTGTGACAAGCAAGCCCGGGCATGTTTTTATTTGTGTTCATGTTATTTGAATAAGATTCAACTACTGTCACTATCATTAATTAATGTGAAGCTCATTAGTGCTAGCATTATTATTAGGATGTTCCCTTTCCAATGCATTCAGACAATGTGCTGTCTCATTGCAGCTGCTCATTTCCAAGTCATCATAGCAGATGACACGGAGATAAAGAAGCTATAGTGCCAGACTCCTGGATGAACCAATCTATCTTCAAAATGTGTCTTACACATTTATATCTCCTAAGATTTCTCTTCATCTTTTTCAGTGACCACTGGGGATTCACAGAGAAGTAATCTTAGCCCAAAGTAGAAAGCACAAGAAGTTGCTTAGTCTACAGAAACAGTGATTGCATTATTGATGGTGATATTTAATTAATGACACGGGAGAGATGGTGTTCAAACTTCAAGTTATATTTTAAGAACCTTAATCTTAACTATGTGGTATAATGATTTTACGGTTAAAATAGGATGCAAGATGCAACTCCTTTTTTTGTCTCAAAGCAAAATGAAAAATAGGTCACACTACTTAACAATTACATCAAGATAATAAACAACTTGTCTCTTAGTTTGGGCATTAAGAATTTGTCCAATCTAAATATCTTAGTCTCACCCAGGGTGATTCTCAAAAGTATAAACTCTTATCCAATGTAAAACTGCTCCTGTCTTTTAGTTCAGGCCTCCTCCAGGCTTGGAAGCTTAAAAAGTAAGGGGCATGTTCAGTTACTCCTCTCTTGTCTAACCCTAAGCTCAGTTCAAAACCTCACCCCATCTCCTTCTCCATTCAATAAACCTTGTTTCTAACTCTCCAAAAAAAAAAAAAAAATGAATTGCAAGGAACACAGAAGCTGAGGTAGAAGACATTTCTGACCAGCTGAAAGAGAAGCATTTACCAAATTCAGGGAACTGCAGTCATAAATCTCAGTAGTGGATCCTCTGGAAACCCATAAAATCTCACCAAAAGATAGGTTCACTTTTGGACATCGGCCCAGTTGTAGCTGGCACCGAGGGCAGATGGCAGCAGTAACCAAGTAGATAAGACTCTGCTGTTTCCCTATTGATTCCCTGATCATCCTCTCCAAAGCGAGATGGGTCAGAAACCAAAATCAGGAAGGACTGAAGAAACAACACTGACCTTTCTCTGGACTCTAGGATTCCATGACTGGGCCAGGCCCAAGACGGGAGAAAGAAGATTTACCTGGATACACATTTGAAGTCTTGATTAATATTCTGCAATGGACTGGAGTTGTGTGATTATTGGATCAGACTAAAGTTTTAATCCCCAAACAAGAGACCATTTGTTTATCATTGGAGAAGTAAAACCAGCCTAAGTTTCATCCAGGGGCAGAAAAAGAACTAATCCACAGAGAGAGTACTAAAAGAGACTGAAGACACACTTTGAAGGGAAAATGACATTGCCTTGTTTTATGCTTGTGCTCTACAGAGCCCATCTTATTCAATGAACCCATTACACCTTTATTTCATTTTTGGTGGGGTGCCTGCCAACCCAAAATGAAAGCACATTCCCTTCTTCATTTGCACTCAACCATCAATACCTTCCCAAACACCTTTTCACAGAAAAGTCCTTTATCTGTCTTTGTAATAACAGGGACACATTTAAAGCTGAGAACTTCATGGACCAAGTGGATGAACAGCATGTAGGTACAGAAATGTAATGTTAAAATTTGTCTACACTTTTGTTCTGGTTTAACCATAGTTATTGTAGAAATTAGACTAAATATAAACTTTAAAAATCACCTATTCAAATTTGATCATGTTACAATGTGGAAACTGAAGCTCTGCTAAAGAAAGATACTTCCCAGAGCACACATAATATTAATAGGGTGCTTACCACTAGGACCCAGACCTTCTCTTCTAGTAATATTGCTTCTGCCAGTCTCCAGCCCTTTATTTGTACCCATTAATTTTATTTTATTTTTTGCTTTTCACTAGGAATGTTAAACCTAGACTATACTGGGAACCTGAAGAAAACTTTATATAATAAAATATTATATAAATATTTAAGTTTAGATGCCTTGCTGTAGGAGCAAATATATGTATATACGTATACTTGTGAGCTTCCTTTACCATGGTTTTGACAACTGATATTTTCAGCACATCATAATGGAGATGTGTTAGAAACACATCACCAAGGGAAAACTCTCCATACAAAACTCACAGAGCATTTGTGCAAAATATATTGTCGTTAGAGTAGCAGTGTGTTAGGCTGCCGTTTTAGACACGGTATATAATGCACACATATGAACTTTTCTGCACTGGGTACACTATAAATCTTGCCAACTTAGATTTACTTAGTGCCAAGTTAATAGGTATTCCAATTTCTCTCTCACCCTGAAAAATTATAGAATATTTTTTATGATGAAAGAAAAGAATTGTAAGCAGAATTGTAAGCACCTGCGTCCCATTCTTGGACTGCCTCTTTCCTTGAGAACCACTTCGGTTGGCCTACAATGCCTTTGGGTGCTTCAAAGACCTTGGGCTCTATCGACATTATAATATCCATCCTACCCGCTGTTTTTGGGAAAATTAAAAATGCAACCTGCTTAGAGATTAAATAGTTTCCTTCAAATAATTGAACATCTGGGGATATTAGTGAGACATTTGGTATCTTTAACATCTTCAAACAGAATGCCTTCTCTCAGTTCATTACTGAAATGATATGCACAGCAATTTATAAAGTGATAACAGAGCAGCTATTATGCTTGAAGACAGAATCCTTGACTGGATAAACAAGTAGACCTGAGTTAAGTGCAGTGTCAGTCTTCCTACTCTTTAATACTGTAATCTATTGATCTCCTGGACATCTTTAAATTTTCATGTATTTGGATCAGTGCCATTTGGTTCAGGTAGCCTTGTTAAAAAGGGATTTGCAGGTCTTTGCAGTGTTACAGCCCTGCCAAGTTAGAATAACTCAAGACAAGGTCAATGTCTAGGACTCTCTTGTATTAAATCAGCAAGTAAGCTTATATGCATTGCAGATTCCTTGCCCATGAGATCTCTTGTCTAAAGCAATCTGCTGAAAGGTGATAGGGTTGAAGCATGGGCTAGACAACATGCATATGGCAGAGGGTTTGTAATATTCTAAGTGGCATCCACTGTGTCCCCTTGGGTCAAGATAGGAACAGTATTGGTAAATCAATAGTTTAATCCATCTGAGACAAGACTATTTATCAAAACTCTTTCTTTTATTAAACAGAATTCTGCTAAACAAAAGCCTTTGCTGACTTAGTTGGCAGGAGTCATCTTGCATCATATGGCACACCCTACCCACACTAAAACAGTAATCGCCAGCTACAATCTTCTTGTATTTCTGCTCTGACAGAAGGTTTGCTAAACAGACCAAGTGTTTCCCTTATGCTTAGGCACATGGCTATTAAGTAAATTCTGACAAATTGAATTGTAATTATAGAAGATCTGGAGAGTAGTGGCATTACTCAAATATTAAGTCATAATTGAAATGACTAAATCCCATGTAACATTAAAAAAATTGCGGAAATCTATAATGTCTCATCTGTAATATAAAAGACAAATGTCTTTATATAAAGTTGATAAAATACATGGAGAGGGAGATTTTTAAACAGTCATTATATTGGAAATCTACCTGGTTTTATCTAAAAATTAAAAACAAACAGATGAGGCCATCTATACGTCCTATTCTATGAACCTTCTGCAAAAAGGGTGAAAATGTATTAAACGAATAGTATTAAAATATTAAAAACCTTCCTTGAACTTTCGCATTCTCTAAAAAATGAGAGAGAGCTCTAGGGAGATAACAAAGAAAATCCTCTTTTGTGCATTATAAACCAAAAGAGCAAGTGTCAGCAGTAGACTAAGTAGAATGATTTCTTCACAACTTGCAGCATCTCCCATCCTCTATGCCCATGGCTGGGAGATACCATAACTGCCGAGGGATGGGATTTTTGAACCCTCTCCAAGGTATCATTCTGGAGAGAGCAAAGTAACATCATCACCCCTATAATTCTACTTATGGGAAAATTATACTCGATGCTTCCCACCTCATCGTTACAAGTTCCACCAAAGAATATTTTTCAACAGGTATAAAGGATGTAAGATTTCTAGGACACAGAGAAGCTGAAAATGTACATGTTTATTCAAGGAATACTTAATCTGTTCTTGTTGCCTAGATGAGGATGTGGATTTGTTGATGATGTATTTGGTTTGAGAATCAGAAGGACATAGTTTTGTAAATATTCCTTTAAGTGGAAGGCATAGATGATTAACATAAGTTCTCCCAGAATTGAGGAATTGAAAATTTAAGCCCGAACATAAAAGGGCAGTAGCCTAGCACGAATTCGACTTTTTTCTCAATTCTGATGGGATCTCACCTATTTAGAGAATGTCAGCAGCTATGGCATCTGGAGACAAAAGAAGACCCTTTGTCTAAGGGGACATTGCATCTGATCCTACATGGTGTACCCGTGCACCCTCCTCACTTACGGGAAGTTCTGTATCTTTGGCTAAATATGCCAAGTATCCTTAGAATTTTATACCAGGTGGCCGGGCGCGGTGGCTCATGCCTGTAATCCCAGCACCTTGGGAGGCCGAGGCAGGTGGATCACGAGGTCAGGAGATTGAGACCATCCTGGCTAACACGGTGAAACCCCGTCTCTACTAAAAACACAAAAAATTAGCCGGCGTGGTGGCGGGCGCCTATAGTACCAGCTACTCGGGAGGCTGAGGCAGGAGAATGGCGTGAACCCGGGAGGCGGAGCTTGCAGTGAGCCGAGATCACGCCACTGCACTCCAGCCTGGGCGACAGAGCGAGAGTCCATCTTAAAACAAATAATAAAGAAATAAAGAATTTTATACCAGGTGTGCATGTTAGTGGTAGTGGCTGTGTCTCTTCTAACCAATCCATAAACTACTTGTCTACAATGGGTTAAACTAAAGAATACTTAAAGGAAAAAATAAGTCCGAAGGTCTCACGTGTTCTTGGAAGACAAGATGGGTATGACAGAGGAGATTCTGTCTTGATAATCGTGAGATTGACTAAATGGTATCATTCTCAGAATATGTTTTAGTAATAGCTGGAGATATTTGTTGCCTCTAGAAATCATTGCCTCAGCCCACTGGTATGGGCCCTTTCATAGAGCAGTCCATGGGACCTGGCTTGATGTATTGTTCCCTCAGAAGAACTGTATGCACAACAATACAGTTTACCTGAATTTCTCAGGCAAGTGTGATTGGCATTATGACCTTCAACTCCATGTATCCTGGGGTAGACGTAAACTCACGTTTCAGGAACCATGCAGATAAGAGGTCCATTGGAAAGAAATAATTTGAAATTTTCAGGCTTTAATCCTCTGAAATACATGTTAGAACAGAGCTCTAGGATCAAAGGAAGAGTGCTACTATGTATTCAGCTCTCTACTGTTAGCATCAGATGTTCTAGCAGTTAACGTCTGTCCATGCCAAGTTCTGCCTGGAGCATTCCCACAGAGTCACTGAGCATCAGTGGCCGAGCAAACCCTAGCATACTGTCAACAGATTCCAAGTCTTTTAAATAAGATTAAATGGCCAATTTTCTTAATTTTCTGGTCCTGGATACTAAAGCAAGCAGAGGACTTCATGGTTATTCTCCAGTTGTCTAATCAAACTAATAATTATACTTCCTCCCATTCATAGGCGTGTTCATGAACATTTTCTTATTGATTCTCCTCAAAAATTTTGAGGTGGACTTTGTTATCCTGCATTATTAATAGGACACTGAAACACAGACTCAGGCCCAGGAAATTTGACAACAATCTTGGAGCTCTTTCACCTCTTCTACAACCACTTCTCACACTTCATGCATCTTCAGTTTATTTACAAATAACAGTATTCCATAGCTTATACTCAGCAAGGACATGATTCTAAACTGAATTTTCTGCAGGGAAACTATGATTGCTCTAAACTAGCTATCTTTTCTCCACTTTTAGTCAGTATGTGCTCAAGCACTACAAGGAAATTTATTTTATCAGTACCCCAAGCAAAATATAATTACAAAGGTTAAAAAAAATCATTTGGAAAAGTGATCCATACAATGTGTGAGAGCTCATCCAACCTTTACACTGGTAGCAGTTATGGAATTCCTTCCACGAGAATACAGACCTATTTTCAATATATCTACCCCTAGTATTTGTTATTTATTGATTGATCATTCATTGAGCAATTCCTATTTGTTAAGTACTGTCTTAAGTGCCAAGGTATAATAATGAGTATAAATAGTTTCTGCTATCAAGTACCTACAGCTCAATAACCTGGCAACTGGACTACAGCAACGTGGTACATATACACTAGGTAGAGCCCCAGGGACTACAAGCTCAGAAAGAAGGATCCTGTGCAAGTCCCCAAGGGTCAATGAAGAAATGCCCCAGAAACTGATGACTGAGCTGAGACAGAGAGACAAGCAGTCATTGATGTAGTGTGGGGATGGGATAATGGGAAGCTGAACTTTTTTCAGCTTGGGTAATACTGTGTGGCCTGCATATTTTTGTTTTGGTTGTACTCCAGCTTTTACCAGCCTGGTTTTTTATTCTCATTTTACAAACAAGTAAAGGCATGTTTAGAGAATTTGAGAGTCTCATCCAAGGTCACAGAGCTAGTGAGAGTTCCAAGAACTAATACAAGTCTGTATGACCACTATGGTTTTAGAGAAGAAAGAGCGCCGGACTGAAAGTCAGGCAACTGGAAATCTATTCTGTCACCAAATCCCTGTGCAACCTTCAACAGGTCACTGAAAAGCTATGCTCTGCTTCTCTTATCTCTAAAATGAGGGGATTTAAACCTGATAACCTCCAAAGTTTCTCCAGTTTTCAGTCTGATACATTTAACTCTCTCCTGGTTAGACCAATAGAAGTAGAAGAAAATTCTGAAAAATAAAAAGGAACTAATAACAATTATCTATAATAATTATTATTATATACATATGTGTATATGTTTGTGTGTATATATACATATAAAACAATAGTCACTCCTTTCATATGTGTATATAGAGGGGGCAATATGCCACAATACTTTCTAAAGCTCAACATAATTTTTTAAATGCTGAATGTGTTTTTCGGACTAATGATTCTTTTAGGTTAACAGAGATAATTGTGCAATGACTACAGTGTGATAGAATTTCATTACCGTGGTTTGTTTGAGGGTGTTTAATGGAGAATCAGACCTATGGAGGGGATTTTTGTGGTTAAGGATCATAAAATTTTTTAAAAGTTTTACTACGTTTTTATTTTCTGATTGTTGTGTAGCCTGTGGCAAAGCCAACACTCTAAGTGTAATGAATAAGGCACTCAAGTTTCCTTGAAGAAAACTCATATACTCAGGGAAAGAAATGGTTTAAACACATAAAAATCAAAGAAGGAAGAAAATGGTTGTTCCAACATGTTAGTGAAATGCTGTATTTTCAGGGTTCTACTAGAGATAATTTGTCAAGGCTAAAATCTTGTTAACAAAATCTTCTTTTAATCATAAAAAGCATTTCTAACAGAGTTTTTAATTTGGCTTTTCCCTAACACTGTCTGCTTTACAGAAGTTCCTTTTGGATATCTCTTGGGGTTAAAAAAGATAAAGTGATCTATATATTGCTACAGCAATTTATCCTGTTCTAACAGATGTAGAAATATTTTTACATATAGTATTAATATCATATCATACCACCCTATGATTTAGGCAATTTATTAGTTTCATACCACCCTGTGAGTTAGGCAATTTATTAGTTTATTAGTTAGGCAATTTATTATATTTGATTGGATAAAATAAAATCCTATTTATCATTTATAAAAATCAAATCCTAAGGCAGTTGTAACAAATTACCACAAATACAGTAGCTTAAAACAACACAAATTTATATTCCTACAGTTCTGGAAGCCAGAAGTCCAAAATCAAGGTGTCAGCAGGGCCATGCTCCCCCCGAGACTCTGACTACCATCCTTCCCATCCTTCCTGAGACTCCGGGTAGCATCCATTACACCAGCTCTTCCCAGCTGTGCTGGTGCCGTCGGTGCCCCCATCCCTTGGTGTACAGCTGCATCCCTGCCATCTCTCACCTGTTGCCTTATGGAGTTCTCTCTGTATGTTTTCCATGGTCAAATTTCCCTCTTCTTATAAGGAAACCAGTCAAATTGGATTAGGGTCCACTCTAATGACCTCATCTTAACTTCATTACCTTTGCAGAGACCTTATTTCCAAATAAGGTCACATTCATAGTTCCTGGGGTTGGGGTTTCGACATATTTTTGGAGGATACAATTCAACCTGTAATAAGTGGCCTTGGTGTGGTTATTATTTCCATTTTATAAACAAGTGAATTAAGACATGGAGTATCTAAGTGGCTTCTCCAAGGTCATACAGAATGTTATTGGCAGAAAAGAGACAAAATATACTGTCTCCTAACTCTTAAGTCAGGCAAAGGAGCACAGAAGGTTACTAAATCAGGTAATGATTTGCCTAGAATCAGAACTTGCATCATTTAATTATCTAGACAGCTGACTTACATCAAGTCCAAACTGCTTGAACATGGGTCCCTGCTATGTTATCATTTATAAAAATCAAATCCTACTGCCTTTGGGTATAATTGTACCTTATTAGATAACTTTGATAGGGAAAAACATATTTCATTTCCAAAATATGTTTTATGGTGTCTACTTTCAGCTAACTTAGGTGCATAAATAATAGGCTATTCTTTAACTGATTCCATTCACAACCCCAAACATTCTTTGGACACTGTGAATGGTGGTGAAATAAACTTGGAATAGTCTGTGGTACATAGAACAAGCTGGAACCTTTCTCTTCAGTGCATATGCCAAGAAATAATTCATTTTGGGTCATTAGATTAGAGAGACAAAATTAAAAACAGATTATTTAACTGCCAGCATAGTGTCCCAAAGAAACTGAGCCCTTTCTCTTTTCTCAAATAACTGTTGTATTTATCAACTGCATCTTCTAGCTAAACAGCAATCTTCTTTACGTAAGCAACCTTCTCCATTCTGGGATGTCGTTTACAGTCATACGCCATTTAACAGTAGGGATACATTCGCAGAAATGTGTCATTACGTGATTTCATTGCTGTGGAAACATTACACAAACCTAGATGGCACAGCCATCTGTGCTACACACCTAAGCTACATGGTATAGCCTATGGCTCCTAGGCTACAACTCTGTACATCATAGTGCTGTATGAATACTGTAGGCAACTGAAATACCATGGTAAATATTTGTGTATCTAAGCATACAAAAGGTACAGTAAAAATATAGTATTATAATCTTAGGGCACCACCACCACACATGCTGTTCATCATTGGCTGAAACCTCATTATACAGCCCATCACTGCACTTACTAATGTGTCAGTGACACATTGTGACACAGACACATTGTCACAAGTGTCTGTGGGTCAGGGTACATGGCATGAATTAAACCATCCTATGACCTCTCCTCTCTAGCTAGTGTTATTTTAAAAATAAGAATCTGTAAGGAATTCCTTTGGAATCTCTGTATATGACCAACTGCCTGTTGGATGAAAGAATAATTTCTGATTTTGTGGACCTTTTTTTTTTTTTTTCTGAGACAGAATCTCCTTCTGTCACCCAGGCCGGAGTTCAGTGGCAAAGCTCATTGCAGCCTCTGTCTCCCAAGTAGCTAGGATTATAGGCGCCTGCTACCATGCCGGCTAATTTTGAATTTTTGTATTTTTAGTTTTACCATGTTGGCCAGGCTGAGTTTCAACTCATGGCCTCACGTGATCTGCCCACCTTGGCCTCCCACAGCACCCAGCCAATATGAAAGGTTCCACCGAGATTTGAACTCGGATCGCTGGATTCAGAGTCCAGAGTGCTAACCATTACACCATGGAACCCTCCTCCCTGCTGTTTTATTCTAGAAATTCAGGCAGCAGAAAGCGATTCAGATGACTAATAAGACACTCATCGTAAAGATCAGTAAAGCCAATGAAAAATTCCAAATCCACATGCATATTGATTTTGTATGTTATTGGCAAAGCTGGATTAATTGACTTTTCACTATATTCTCTAAGTCGTACTTACTTTTGATAAAAGCCTTTATAGCATTCATTTATTAATTCCTTCACCAACATTCATTGAGCATCCGCTACATACCAGACATTATTGTGACACTGGGGATACAGTGGTAAATGAGAGAGACAAAGACCTGCCCTTTATCCTGGTAAGCAATTTTTATTCCAAAGAAATATCATAATGGCCATACAGAAAGATGATGAGCTAGAAAGTTGACTTGCCTGAAAACTGGACAGCCTGGCACTGGCTCTGTCACTCCTATGTGCCTTCTGCTCTCTTGAGTTCAGGTAATTTGTTTACAAATGAGAGAACAGAATAAATAAACTTTAACACTGCCTTTCATTCTTCCTCTCCTATTAGCTACAACCCCATGACATCTCATGTGACAGACACAACAAATTGTGAATACCTGGAGCTTACATTAAGGCTTTTTCTAGAATTCAGAAATTACTGTGGAGTGAGAGGAGATTGCTATCTGAGATCAAGATACACAATCAACACATCTTGAACCACAGCATAGGTATGTAAAGTCCCATCCTTCAGGGAAGGGGGGACACCAGACCTGTATGTCTTGACCATTTTAACAATGTTAGCGGAGACAGTGGCACTGCTTTGTAACATACTAGCTCATAAATATTTATCACGTGAATGCATGAGCCTTTCAGTCTTAAAATCCTGTGACATTATTGCACTACATGGAGATGGTTTCTTAAAGGAAATATTTTTAACCAAAAATAAATGCCTTTTTATCTGAAATTTGGGTTCTTTTTACCTTGTGAGATCAGAGGCCACACGCCTCTGAGAGTCTCCAGAATTTCATGAGAGTTTCGGCTGTGTCAATCTTGTTCATCACTAGAACTCCAGCTTTAGGACAGCGGCTGGCACTCAGCAAATATTGGCAGAATGAATGAATTAATGAGAACTAATGAAGAAATTATCATTTACAAACAACATTCCTGAGGCAGCTTGACTCATACAATCATCCTTTCGCCTCAAGTCTGAAAACCCCAGGACTCTTCTGAAAGGCCAGAACCAAATATTTTAAAGCAATCTTAAGAATATATTTAAACAGATTTATGTGCTTTTATCACATGCCTAGTTCTCTCTACCCCTTTTATTCTTGCCTTCTCAGTAAAAGATTCTTCTCCCCCCACCATGCCTTCCCAGCACACAGTGTGCAAGGCCCCTCCACAGTGCCTGCCAGGCTGGATGAAGGAACCAGGGTAAACTCAGAGGCAGCCTGCATTCATTGCCTGTGCTACATAATTAGAAGTTTCCAAGTCCTCAATTCCCTGTTCACCAATATAAGACCTTTTTATTAAAAACACTGGTTTTCAATTCCCACTGTGTCCCTGAGATAACAAGGCATAAAAAAGAAATTGGATGGTGCTAGGTACATAAAGGTTTGGGAAAACATTGTTTAAATAGTGAAGAATTTATTTCTAGTCAAAAGTCTAAGAACAAGTCCATGAGGAGTTCAAAGTTATAAATATATATGAAATATGATATCAATGTACTCTCTTGTTCCCATAAATGTTGTAGTGTGCACTCATCTACAATGTCTCTCGTCTAACATAAGACCTCATTATGCATCACAAGATGGGGAATACAATGAAAGTTCCATTTAACAGCCCATGCCTGGTGTTGCAGAAATCTTCAAGGCCTACAGATAACAGTTATTTAGCACTTGTTATTCAAGAGCCTGCTGTATAATATCAATATGAGTAAACAAACTTTTAAAACTTAAAAATCTGTGGTTAAAAGTGAGACCCCATTGGCCACATTGCCTCTACAGACTCTATTCATCAAGAATGGAGACTTCTCAATTCCACTTCTATCTCTTTAGGACCATCTGCCTTGATGCACATCTAACTCAACTGATAAATAGAAATTTCCCAGCTAGCTTGTCTAAATCTTGTGTTTAAATCTAGTTGCCCACCAGAACAAAGAAATAGAAACACGTTACCATTTATCGAGCTACCGACTAGGTATCTACTTATTTCCAGCAGAAAGGCAACATCAAGAAAGTGAAAATTGAAGCTGTAAAGAGATGAAAAAACTATGAACTAACAAAATAATTCCAAAGGCAGAGCATTCGATGGACCTGGTTATTCATCATCCATATTCCATTGTGCTTTGTCCCACAAAAATAGTCCTTAATAGTATTACTTTCTGGTGTAGCTACTAGGTTGTGAGTTAATTCATTAAGAAGCCAAATTCCCACTCAAAAATCATGTTGTTTAGAGCAGCTGGCACAGAGCTTTGTAACAAAAATATTCAACAGATGATTTTGATTCAAAGAATCTAATGCTATTTGCTTGCTGAGGAGGGAACAGAAGGTAGGCACAGTGAAAAACAGCATGATCTTCTATTATTTAAACCTTTCAGGTAAAAACAAAGTATGTAATCCCAGCACCTTGGGAGGCCAAGGCAGGTGGATCATGAGGTCAGGAGATCAAGACCACCCTGGCCAACATGGTGAAACCCCATCTCTACTAAAAATACAAAATCAGCAGGGCATGGTGGCATGTGCCTGTAGTCCCAGCCACTCGGGAGGCTGAGGCAGGAGAATCGCTTGAACCCGGGAAGCAGAGGTTGCAGTGAGCCGAGATTCTGCCACTACACTCCAGCCTGACGACAGAGCAAGACTCGGTCTCAAAAAAAAAAAAAAAATTAAAAAAAAAAAAAAAAAAGTAGACCATTCTTAGCTAGACAGTGTTGCATGGTAGCAATCACTCAAACTCTGGCATCATATAGACCAAGGTTCATATTCCAGTTTTTCTGTTATTATCTCTGAAACATGAATACAATTCTCAATCCAACCTATTAAATAGGAAGGATACTCCTGCCTTCCTGAATTGTAAAGATTAATCATAAGTACATATTAATATACAACACCTATCACGTAAGTGTTTGACTTATAGATGGTGCTAAATAAAGAATACCTATGATTTATGTCCACTAGGTAGGACATTTGGAACATTGGTATGATGCTACATATCAGTGATGATAGTACAGGCTTAATTCAGCTCAGTGAAGAAGGAATTTTCTAAGAGTTAGAACTGCCCAAAGATCAAGTCAACTGGATTCCTTATTATGAGGTGGTGACTTCCCCATCATCAAAAGCCTTCAAGCAAAATCTAAATGACCTTTTACCAGGCATGATGAGTAGGGAATTAGGTAAAAGACTTAAATTCTAACATTTAAATGCTAAATTTCTATGATGGCTTGAAGTTCCTGATAGCTTCTGAAACAATGAGCACAATTTTTCTGATTATTTTTTTAAACCAAAGATAATGATATTAGACAGAAAGGAGCAAATTTGTCACAAGACATTGAGTTTGGCTTAAATGGTAACTTTGCATGTCTAAAAAATTAGTATTCAGATTCATGATATTTTTTTTCCAACAGACCTTAGAAAAATAGGAAGGTCTAAATGTTTACTCAGCCTCTGGCTCCCAGTTGTCTGTTTAAATAGTTCTCACTGTTCCACTTCATCGTTTTTCTCTCCAGTTGAGAAGCAGACATGACAAAGATAGTTAAGAAAGTGCCATTGATCAGCCCTAGAAAAACATCCATTTACTTGCAATTCATCAGGATATGCCCTGGGAATTATCTTCTCTAACCCCCTCTCGGTTTCTCCGTTGCCTATAGTTCTCTCCCTTCTTCCTACTCCATCCAGGAGTAGAAAAAAATATCTGTTTGTCTCATACACAGTTTTCCTCTCTTCTCTGAAGACCCAGCATACTCAGCCTTATAGAGAATTGTGTGGTCCCAATAAGGCTATTCTGTCACTAAATGGAATCTTCAAGCTACCCACCAAGAGAATTGTTTTCTTCCTCTCATTGCAAGGAGTTTCCTTTTGTAAGACTGTATGTACATAATCCTAGAGAAAAGCAAAACCTGGGGAGATAGGGGAAAGACACAAGCTCTTGGGGTTTCTTAAGGCTTCGGGATCTTTGTAAAAATATCTGAAAATGTATTCAAAATTTCATGGGCATGTACACTCGACTGGATGAGTGTCCATGCCTTCATCAGATACTTAAAATGCTGCACATGATACAAAAATTGGTTAAGAATCAATGTCTTACAGGAGAAAAAATATTTGCAAATAATATATTTGATAAGGGTCTAATATGCAGTATATATAAAGAACTCTTGCAGTATACATAAAGAACTCTTGCAATCCAACAATAAAAAGATAAATAACTGAATTTTAAAATGGGAACATTCTTCAAAGAAGATATACACATGGTCAATAAATGCATGCAAAGATAATCAGCATCATCAGTCATTAGGAATACCACTTAATACCCATGAGAATGGTTAACATAAGAAAGACAGATGATAACAAGTGTTAATGTGGATTTGAAAAAATTGGAAGCAGTTTCTTTCTGACCAGTCAGATATTAGTCACAAATTGGCAACACAAATGGAATCTGACCAATTACCAATTTTATGGCATGGGTATCCCATGATGTAAATATAACCATCTCCAGCTATTGGAACCCAGACAATGAGTAACCATCAGTGAGAAAATCTGAAAATTTGGCATCACTGACACATGGTAGAATCTTGAGGCTATGTTTCTAAATTGTTCATCTTCTCCACCCATACAGTGAAGTCAAATTATATCTTCCTCCACGGTGTTGTAAATGAGGATTAATGAAATTACATGCCTCACACCATTTGAGTTTTTGTCTGAAATGTCCCTGTGACTTTAAGGTGACATTCCTGTGTTTTTTTGTTTACCAAAGAAAGTGTTAGCTTGAAAAAGCATTTGGATGTGTTGCTAAATACATTGTTTTATTCCAATAAAATTGACACACCATAGACAGAAAACTCATTTGAAAGCCAAGTGACCCTGTGTTTTGATTATTGTTGTTGCATAACAAGCTAACCCAAAGCTGAATGATTTAAAATAACTACAGTACTCTATTTTGCTCAAGATTTTATAGGTCAGGAACTTGGACAGGACTTGGCTGAAGGCTTCATCTCTAATATGTGTGACAGCAACTGGAGGGACTGAGGTTAGAGGATTCACTTCCAGGATGGCTTATTGCTAAGGTGACTGCCATCTAAGTACTCTTTGGTCTCTCTGTGTCCTCCTCGGTCCCTCTCTTCTTCTCTCTTTCTTTCTCTTGGTCTGTCTTTCCATGCAGCATCTCGTCATCCAGGGAGTCTCCATGTGCCTGGGGTTTCTGTGGTCTCAAGGAAGGCATGCTTCTTTTATGATGCTGGCTTCTAAGAGAGAGGAAGCAGTAACTACTGCTTCCATGCCAGTTAAGAACAATGCCCAGAACTGGCACAATGTCACTTGTGCTATATTCTCTTGGTCAAAGCACTCAGAGTCTGCCTAGATTCAAGGGAGAGGAGACATACACTCTGCCTCTAAATGAAGAAGTGGCAAGATCACGTTGCAGAAGGGCATGCTGATTAGGAGATATTGTCGCAGCTGTCTGTGGAAACCATCATCATATCCTGGAAAAGTCGCCATCAACCTTGTATTGTATCATGTTCTCAAGAATTGGTCTTTTCACTTGGAAAATGCAGGAATTGGACCAGGATTCTACTTAGAATCTTTTGGTTGCAAGAAACAGAGACACACTCCAAGTTATCTTAAGAAAAATATAGTTCTTATAGAAAAATACGACAGATTGCCACCAAAACAAGAAAGCCCTCAAGCACCAGCTATGCCCCCTGGCCTCTATTGATAAGTTGGAATGTGTGGCCTTCCTCTCTTGGGAGACTGCTGCACACATGAATCTGATTTGTCCTAAACCTTCCTCATAGGCACACTCTCCGGTATCTCTGTAGAGTCCATCATTTTTAACCCCTAGTTAAACACATTCTCTCCTTAGTTGCAGATTAAAATTCCATAGAAAATCGATTGCCCACCTCCTTCCTTTCACTGCAGCAATTGCATAAGCCTCTTGCCACTCCAAGGATTGGCTATTTTTTTTTTTTTTTTGGTCAGTTACACTTTTTATCTAATCAGCTATAGCAGTTAGGAGATGGGTAGTTTGGTGTTGAAGATAAAGATGGCATCACTTGGTCCAAAAAAAAATGTCTAACTGAAAGGCATGATGATCCATGAGTAACATAACTAAATAATCTCCAAAGCCATTCCAGCTCCAAGAGCATATGGATTTTGTAAAGGTAATTTCCATTAGCTTGTGCAGTAACACAATAGCCTACTCATTTCACAAAGCCTCACAGAGTGTTCTAAAAAAAGGAACTACTGAGCAGCTTCCATTCCCTAGAGAGAAGAAAGAGTGCTTCAGGGACCCAGCCTAATTTCCTATAGCCATTCTATTATCCCAGCTGTATCTATGGTTTCTATTAACCCTTCAGTGCTATTGATCAGCCTGGTCACAATGAAAGAGCTTTATTGAATTCCAAGTAATGGAAACTCATTACATGGCCTAGATAATTAATTACCAATTCTTTCCTTTTAGTGAAATTGAAACTGGCTGTGGAGTACAAGCTGCGTGAGCCCAGTAATGCAGCCTGTTTGAAGCTTTATTTAATGCCTATGAGGAGCACTCTACACTGGCCTTGGAGATGTGTTTGATGTAGTGCAGACCCTTTTTACAACCCAAGCACTTTCCTTTAAAATAAACCATCTTTTCAAATGGAATCAATTGAATGGAGGAGACACTTAAACTGTACAGAGTAAAAATATCAAAACAAAAATATAAATCATATAGGGATATGAAAGTAAGGCATTGCTTCACTGATACTTTTAAATCAGGTCATCAAAATGTTTTTGCTGAATAAGAATAAATGTTCTTATTCAAGTGGTTTACTTGAAGAAGTCAGAAATAGAGGCTGGGTTCATGTCTTCAATCTCATCTTTTGTTCTGCTTGCCCCATATGACTTCTTCTAGTTATATCGCTGATGTAATTTTCAAAGAACAGTGAGTTACGATAGTAATATATTGAGGAGTGATAACATCATCCCTGGGATAGAATGAAAACTGAGAAAGACAGTAGTTGCTAATGATAGTTAGCCTGGATGGAAATGCCTACTATGTGCCAGGCGCTGTGCTAGCTCCTTTACAAATATTGTGTCATTTATTCTCACAACTCTATGATATGGCTTATATTAACACCTATTTTGAAGGTGAGGATAACAAAGCTTAATCAAACTGCCCAACATCACAGAGCTACGATTCCAGGAATCCAAATTTCTGTCTGCCTAACTCCATCTATTAAACCATGCTATCGCCCCCAGAACTAGTATGATAACAAGACAAGTCATTTCAAAAATCATTTACAGGAAACATGAGAAAGACTTGTAGTTATATAAAGATCAAAGTGCAATATGAAAAAGACAATTATGCCTGGAGTTAAAGCATAAGAGGAAATAGTTCTTTTATCATCTTCATGTCTCTTCTTATGACTACTGGTGGCAGTATGGAATGTAACAGTAATTTGTGTTTTGCAAAAGTTAGCCCTAAGACATTTGAAACCTGGATGGCAAGTATAAAACCTAGTAAAGATAGACTCCGAGCCTTACACAATCCTCTATGTTATAAGCAGTGGAGATTTGTGTAATTTTAATTATACAGGATGAACTTGAATTTGATTCTTTCTAAAAGAAACACAAGTTAGACTCCAAGAAGCATTGAAGTGACTGGGATGCTTTTCATTCTTTATATCAAACTGTATGATAACCATGACATTCTGGATACCTGCAGAGAAAGAGCTATTTGACTCTTTGGTACTGACATATTTCTGCTACCAACAGTTAAATTTCTCTGCTTAGGTAGAGTCAGCAGTGTTTGTGCCCAGACTGGCTCACACCAGTTGTGCTTGTTTTGGCAAATACACAATTTATTATTAGATAAACCAATGAAATGAGAAGTGTGAAAAGAAAGAGTCATTGATTGTATTTTAAAAAGATAAAACAAGTTTGAATGCTTTAGAATACTTGAAAATCACTTAAACTATTGTTTAGTTGGTGTGGGTGAGACAACTGTTAAAATCAGAGATTTTATGAAAAACATAATTATTACTTAAATTAGCTATTTATAACATAATTATTAAACAAAAAACATAATTATTACTTAAATTATGCCCTTAAATTACTTCATAGGGTACTCCTAAGGACATGCTCTACTTTAAAGAAAATTAAAATTAAAATTATTGTGGGTAGAGTTAATGCAAGTAAGATGCAGATATCTTTGTCAGACTGACTCAAATTGACTTAATAGGCCTTGGTCCTACCTCAAAGTATGTACTTTCAATTAAAATAAAACTCCTACATAAATCATTTTTAATCCCACAATAATTATGTATTTTTAAATAAATCAACCAGTTGCCTGTCCAGCCCGTCTAGGCTAAGAGGATTTCTGATACACCACAAGTTTCTTCATGGGAGGCAGAGTGAGACTTAATATCACACACACTTTGAATTCTGAACATCATCTTATCTCCTTTATCCTAAAACTCCACTCTGTCCTGCAGCTGTTTTATATCAGTCTAAATACCCCAAACTCCTCATTCCTCAGCCATCTGTTACTGGCTATCTACCTGCTACTCCCTCTTCCTCACCTCTTCTTAGAGAGGTCAACTGAGTCCCTTTGTCTTTTTGCAATTCTATCCCCATGTGCTCAGCATAAGAAAGGTCCAGAAAGCTGAAAAAGAAAGAAAGAAAGAAAGAAAGAAAGAGAGAGAGAGAGAAAGAAAAAAAGAAAGAGAAAAGGAAAAAAGACTCTCCTTTAGAAAGTGAAGTAAAATAAAAGATCATACCTGTATATATTCCCATTTTTATCCCATCTACATTTGAATAACTACTTAGGCAGATCTCCATTCATTCCTAGAAAGCTTTCTTAATGGGCTTTTTACTTTTAAAATATAAAGCATAGACCCTGCATAAAAATCAACGTCTTTGAAGAAATTTGTCATCACCCGTCAGTCAAAACTCTGCAATGATGACGAAGTGGGAAAATTTAAAATGCTCTGTGGGGGAGATGGAAGTGCATCTAGGAAGAACAAGTTCTGAAGAATGAGTTGAGTGGTGGGGAGATGAGGACAGTGAGGCACCAACATGGACTCTGTCGGAGGCTCAGCTTCTTGGATGGGAATTAATCTCCAGTGGTTATAGTGGCAACTGCCAGAAGTCGACAAAACAGTTTTTGAGGGACTTGATTTAGCTCTTGATGTAGCAGGATTTGAGAGGAAATGCAGGGGATAGGAGAGGGTGTTTTCTAGTTTACATAGGATGGATTAGAGACAGAATGTGATGAAGCAAGCCAAGTGGCTATCTAGATATCTATGAGAAGAATATTGCAGGCAAAGGCAACTCCAAGTGCAAATGTCCTGAAGCTGAAGTGTTCTTGGTGTGTTGAAGAACAGCAGGGAGGCCCGGGTAGCTGAAGCTGATTGAGTAAGGAGGGGAGTGGCAGTGGGTAAGGTCAGAGGATGGGGAATGGCATAGTACTTTCTGGGCCACTGTAAAGACCACTTTTACTCTGACATAACCAAGACTTTGAAAAGAACGTTTAGGTGGGAAGAAAAAGTTCATATAAAATTAAATATTATGGAAGTGAAGAGATGTGACATTCATTTTCCATTATCAAGGGTTTACTATGGTGCAAAGGAAGAACTAGCAAAATAGAGGTGATGCCAAGGCACTTTCAAGTCAAAATGTTATATATATAGATATAGATATATAGATATAAATTAAAGGCAAGATTTTGGTCTTAGGTGTCTACCAACTGATAAAAATTATAAGGTTGACAAAGTGAATTTAAATTTTAACAAACAACTGTCGAGAGTCTCAGTAGTGTCAGGTATATGAGCATGAAGTCAGCTTTCTGGACCTAAGTGACCTAATCTTACAAAATTAGGGATTTAAATGGTAAGATTCCTATGGCCTCCAGGTGAAATTTGGGATGTGCTGCTGATATTTGATGGTGTGTGACTTATGTCTGAACAGTCACAAATCTGGAAGGAAGAGGAGGAAGAAAACTTTGTATATCAAAGACTCTACACTTCTGTTCAAATTCACCAACTGAGCAATTCCTTGAGCATACAGGAGAAAACTAATATAATTGTGAGAGATTTCTCATCTAACCCAGACAAATAAAGGTTACAAGATAACACTTTTGTAATAGAAATTATGAAACTGGCACAGAAGTAAGATAAAAAAATGGGGCACTTCTACTATCAGGGTATCTACTGGAGTCTCCTTCTTCTATAAGTAGAGCATCTGATAAGTGCTTGTCTTGCTGACAATTACATCTTTCAGAAAATGGAGGGAGCAAGAGGGACGTTACAGGTAAGATACAGATGAACAAGGAAGAATTGGTTCATTAATATGAAATGGACAGACACGTACCCTACATTTTAGATTATCTATTTCAGGGAGTTTACCGGAAAAAAAAAAGAAATGGTGCCATGGATAGGAGACCATATAGTAGAATGTCACTTGCATGCAAAAGGAGGTTTTGCTATATGAAATTTTGACTGTGTGACTGTAAATAATCCCAGAAGAAAAAAGAAGAAAGAGCTCTTAAGAAACCAGAACACAGGAAGGCACTTTTAAGTGCAGGTGTTAAAAGTATGAAGGGAAGGACAATAAGAATAGTTCACAAAGCACTGTATTAGCTGTGTAGAGGTTTAGTAGATTAAAAAATGTTCAACATTAATCTTAATTTTCTTTAGAGATCGATTGTTTAGAACTGCACTGGCCAAGACAGTAGCTACAAGCTGTTTATGGCTACTGAGTATCTGAAATGTGGCTAATGCAAATTCAGATATATTTTAAGTATAAAATACACTTAGTGTAAAAGAATATGAAAACTAATGTCTCATTAATAATATTTATATTAGTTCGTGCACATGTTGAAATAATAATATTTTGAATATACTGGGTTAAAGAAAATATATTACAATATTCATTTCACCTGTCTGCTTTTTAAATTGTTTTAGTAAAGCTGTAGCTACTAGGAAAATTTAAACTACCTATGTAGCGTGCATTTGTAGCTCATATTGCATTTCTATCAAACAGCACACAACATACCCTCATTTTGTGACAGAGGAAACACACCTGAAAATGTTAAAAAAAATTCTGCCAACTCATAGAACTACTATAATTATTAAATAAGTGTAGGCTGGGCACAGTGGCTCATGTCTGTAATCCCAGCACTTTGGGAGGCCGAAGTGGATAGATCACTTTGAGCTCAAGAGTATGAGACCAGTCTAGGCAACATGGCGAAACCTCATCTCTACAAAAAAATACAAAATTTAGCTGGGCATGGTGGCATGCACCTGTGATCCAGGTACTCAGGAGGCTGAGGCTGGAGAATCATTTGAACCCAGGAGGCAGAAGTTGCAATGATCCCAGATCATGCCACTGCACTCCAGCCTGGGCAATGCCAACAGACCCTGTTTAAAAAAAAAAAAAGAAAAATAATGTGTAATTATTTGTTTAAAGACATAGAAAAACAACAGAGACTGAACTAATGCTAAACACAAACAAATGAAAATTCTCAAACATAAATGAGACACAAAAAAAAAACATAAAAAGAATGGGCTTTCATCTTGGGAAGTGGTGAGTGGGAATAGAAGTGTATGTCCAGCACAGGGGAATCAGTATCTGCATGTTGTTTGTCAAACTTTTTATAATCTAAGCATGCAATGACAAACTTAAATATGTCTTGACAAAAACCATAGGAATAATGGAGTATTCTAAGTAAAGGTGCTTTGGAAATGGAAAAAGTATTGCTTGAATATGTCTGAAAAGTGGTTTACTTCACCAACATAACGACTGAGAAGGTAAAACCGCTTTTACTTTCTAAAAAATGGAAGTCTAGTATCTTCTGCTCAAAGTCCACTCTTTCCTAGCTTTCTCTCCCCTTAATGGCATTTCACAAACCTGGGTTCACACAATCTATCCCAAAGGTTTAATTCTTGCTTCCAAGTACCACGGGAAGAAAGAGAACTGCAACTAATCTGTTGTTCCACAAGTGATTCTAAGGCTGCCACACGGTGGCGCTGTTGAACACTGGTTCTTGCACAGCCCAGTAACCATTGTCCTGTGCTAGTCCAAATCCTTGGATAAGAACCTCCCACCCATAAACTCTTCCTCTCCCTCTTCTCTTTCCTGTTATTTCTCACTGAACTTCCAGTTCTTACAGATTTTTTAAAATGCAGAACATATTCACCTTCCACACTTAAATTGCTTTAGAGAATATTTTCTTAAACTAAGATGGTGTCTTTCCTTCTCTGATTCTGGCCACTAAAAATACTTTATTCTCATCTTGCATTATAAATAATAGATTAGAAAGTTACTGGTGGACAAATTATAAGGTTGGTAGCACTTCCCACAACTGCATTGGGCTACTTGTGAAGTAGTAAGTTCCTGAACACTGAAACTTAAATGACCATTGTCAAGAACATTTTTAAAAAATTGTATAAGAAACAGCTAACCTGAATTTTTCAAGCCCTGCATATTCCCAAAAAAGGCTGCTTTTAGGAGTGGCCTGTATTAGGCCATTCTTGCATTGCTATAAAGAAATACCTGAGACTAGGGAATTTATAAAGAAAAGAGGTTCAATTGGCTCATAGTTCCACAGGCTTTACAGGAAGCATGGTGTTGACATCAGCTTGGCTTCTGGTGAAGCCTCAGGGAGGTAACAATCAAGGAAGAAGGTGAAGGAGGAGGCAGGTGTCTGCCAAGCCTTTTTCACTTTTGCACTCTGCATGCCCACAGGCTTAACATCACATGGAAGCCACCAAGGCTTACCACTTGTGCCCTTTGGAATAGTGGCCCCAGCTGTATCTGGTGCCCTTTGAGCTGAGGCTGGAGCCAGAGGGCCCAGGATGCAAGGAGCAGCTGCCTGGGGTGGCACAGGGCAGGTTACCAGGAGCTGGGAAGGGTCAAGGGTACCTGTGTTAACCAGGTACAAAAATACTGTTAGACTGAATAAGATCTAGTATTTGACAGAACAACAGGGTGACTATAGTCAATAATAATTTATTGTACATTTTAAAATAACTAAGAGTATAATTGGATTGTTAGTAACACAAAGAAAAGATAAATGCTTGAGGTGATAGATACTCCATTTACCCTGATGTGATTATTATGCACTGTATGAAGGGAAGGACAATAAGAATATCAAAATATCAAATATCAAAATATCTATATCAAAATATCTCATGTAACCCATAAACACATATACTTATGTGCCCACAAAAATTAAAATAAAAAATTAAATAAACCTTTAGAAGTACTTCAGGAATTTAAGAATAGACATGTCTGTGAGAGATTACAGGTAAACTGACTTGGCTTCAGTGGAGGAAACAATAAGAGTTGTAATTGGAAGTATGAAATTTAAGGACATATGAACTGACCAAATAGAAGCTTTCATTGAAAGAAAGAAAGTTACATAAATTTCATAAATTATGGACTAATGTGATAGAAAAATCCTTGAATATATATGCTAGTCTAACTTCCTCATCCCAACTATGTTCTTTTCAAAATAGCATATTTCATTTACTGAGCAGCCAATATTACAGCAACAATAGAAAATCCATAACATCCTGAATTCCACTACCATAGTACATAGAGTCAGATAGACTTGGGTTCTTTGCCATTTAGTAGCAATGTTACCTTGCATAAGTCACAAGTTTCTTTCACTGTTAGCACTATCCTGTAATATAAGGTTACAAACCAGAGGACTACAAATTTCAAACCAGAGTAGCTACATGATTTGCCCAAGGTCACTTTGCTAGTCAACAGAAGAACCACAGCTAATACCCACATTGTCTAATTCTTTGTCCAGAAATCCTTCTTCTCTATCATATTTAATGTAAAGTAAAATTGTGGGCAAATTTTCAGGGAAATAATGGTTGAACAGAAATAGATTACCTATTAGTGATAAGAAGCAGACCGATTCAACCAACAGAGTTCCAGAGAAACTGAGAAATTGGAGACATCTGTAGCCATGGTAGGTGGAAGGGTTAAAACAGAGGATTGTATGAAAGCCTGTGAAAGGAAATTGGGTCCCATCTGCATTCAATATAGAAGGCAAAAATCTCTACCCTACATTGCAGGAGAAGAAGTAAGATCTCTGAAGAACTTGAGCCAGGGAAGCCCAGACCCAGTGATGACATGCATGGGAAAATCTCTGGTTGGGGAATAAATCTGAAAACAAAACCCACCATAGAAAAGAATAATGCTGTCTGAGTCAATTTATGGGAACTTCAAGAACACGTAATACTAACCGAGAGGGATAGAAGTCGAAATAGTTAGAGAGAAGAGAATCACTGATAGGGAAAGGGCACCAGGAAACTCTGGGGACATGGAAATGTGTAGCATCTTGATGTAGGTGAAAGTTACACAGGTACATCTACATGTAACCATTTGTAAAGCTGTGCACTCAAGATTTGTATATTTTACTGAATGTACTGCATGCCTCAATTTATAAAAAGAATCCAGAAGTCTGTTAGTATTAAATCTAAGCTTTTCAGGCTCAGTAAAGTTTTCATAACAACATAAGTAAAGAGATCTCCAATGCAGAATTGATCCCTTATTTTGGTTCACTTTTTCACCCAGAATACTGATTTTCAACTTTACTGGGTGAAATTTTTTGAACCTTTTAAAGTCAGCTGCCCTTCTTGTCCCAGAACTTTCTTTACATTTATGTAACTAGCTCATTGGGCAATAACTAGCCCATTGAGGAAATTGCATTTCCTCAATCCTAACCACTGCTTCAAACAATATTTGGAGATACATGTTTTGAAACAAATATATGACACATTATTATTGATCTTTAATAAGCCAATCAGCACAAACTTCCTTGTCAATCTTTACTTCCCTCCCAATGTAACTATAATTTTAATTTCTATCCACAGAAATTAGTTTTGCTTGATATTGAACTTTATGTAAATGGGATAATACAATATATACTATTTGGTGTGGGGCTTCTTTCATTCAACATGATGAGTTTGAAAAATAGTAATCTGGAAAATGCAGGCAGACAGGCTTAACTGCGTTAAACTGAAAACAGTGGAGTCAGGATCTGGAATTAGTTATCCCCACTGTCCTACAGAAGGCGCTAGGGCACCTGATTTAGTTGCCAATGATGGACATAGGTCCAGTCAAGCAATGGAGCAAGACATTTGAAGGTTCAGTAACAGACAATAGGAAAACGTTGTAGTGAAAATGTTGAGAAGAGAATGAACAATCAAAAAGACAGAGGTTCCAAAAGGCAGCAATGGTAATCTGGCAGACAAGTGGACTAGTCTACATTGGTAATTCAGGAGCAAGAGAGCCTCGGATGCAAGACACATGTAACCAGCAAAATTTGTCAGCAGATAATAGAGCACCAGTACATTGATCTGGGGCCAAAGGAGGTAGGGCAAGTAACCACTGTGTTCAGGGAAAGGAATTGTAAGGGGCACAAAGAAAACTGGCGGCAAGAGTGACTTTATACTCTGTTTTCTGAGTGTTTTGGCTTTAAGTCATTTAATCTGGGATCAGGATTTGACTGTCTGTTTCTCTTTATAACAAGAGGGAGGATGAGTGGTGAATTTTAGGCAAGGTCAAAAACAAGTAGACCTTGCTTTCCTAAGCATGGAATTCAATGACAAAAATCACTGGCACAATTTCCACTGGACAAAGAGATGTCCAATGCTGAGTTGGAAAACTACAATTTTATGGGAAAGAAATCTCAATAAGGAAAGAAATTTGTCAACTTTTCTGAGTTCCTTAGAAAAAGTAATTTATCTATTTGACAGGTTTTCCAGTGTGGTTCTTAGATTTCTACATCAAAATTCTTCAGTCTTTCCCTAAACCAACAATACAAAATTTCTAGGAGTAGATTCCCTCTACTCTGCTACTCTCAACAAACTTCTCAAGTGATTCTTATGCATATTAAAGTTTGAAAAGCATTGTTTTAGACTAAGAAATAAGTCACGCCTGTATGGTAATAAATAATTAACTTTGTAATTTTTGTTTACTTGGATCTTAAAGGATTAGTTATTAATCCCCTTATAACATGAAAGAGTTAAAATTCTGAATTTTTTTCCAGAGCTATCTTATGAATATAAAATTCCTTGTCATCGCCATTTGTATAGCTCTAATTTCACTTAGTCCATATTAAATAATATATTTTCCAAGTCCAAATGTAAACATATGTTTTAATTAAGCTTATACTTCCTGCCATGTCCCAGCATAAAATATACTTTAATAAACTTTTTAAAAATGCAACTGTTAATTAGGAAATGATTTTGAGAAACCTTCATTTGAGAAAAATACAATAAAATCAGTTTTTATAGTAAACTGAGGCAGCCACATATCATCTTACAACCTCGCGATTTTCCCATCAGGCTTCACTGAAGAACGACTTAGCATGCAAACACACAGCTAATGTATTTATTGTTGTGTGATTGCAAACATAGATCACTACATTACACAGAGCTTCCTTTAGAAGCAATCACAGGAAACATTTTGAAATGTAATGTAATGCTGGGTTTCTCTAGATTAACTCATCTGTTTATATGGACACTGAAAATATTCTAACTGTAAATATTTTATTTTTTATTTTTGACTCTACTAAGTTTAAAGCTACATTCTTTACTCACTGTTTGATACATATTCATTTTATATTCTAACTCTATCCCTGGTTTCACTTCATTTTCCCAGTGTTCTCTTCTATTATCTGCCTATCCTTATTTTCCCAAAAATTTCACTTTTTATCATATATATTAAGGACAAATGGTATTAGAATTAGAAATTATAGAATAAACAACCCCATCTTCTTATTAATTTCTGCATTGTAGAAAAATTTCTGTCACTAAACCAATTTGAAGTTCCTAACATTTCATTCTAGTTTTAGACCCCACATAAATTTCTTTAAAAATCTGAAGAAAACACAAAAACACTTTTAGGTTCTTTAAAATTAAATTAGTTATTTTATGGAGGAAAAAGATAAATTAAAATGTAAAAGCCAAGGATTTTCAGATTTGTATGTGTGTGACAGTTAAAACATTATAGGGTAACTTTGATAATTAATAATTTTAAGGCATGAAAATATACTTATTATCTTGATATTTTTCTAGATTAACATTTTATTATTAAATTTTTGCTAAATATTAAAATTTTCTCATTGTCCCTGTTGCATTCTAATATTTTTAAGTTATTTCCTTTCTTTAACACCAGAATCACTTTTTATTTTTATTTCTTTAGAGACGAGGTCTCACTGTATCATCCAGGCTGGAGTGCAGTGGTGATATCACAGGTCACTGCAGCCTTGAACTCCTGGGCTCACGTGGTCCTCCCACCTCAGCCTCCTGAGTAGCTTCAGGCACATGCTACCATGCCCAGCTATTTTTTTTACATTTTTTTAGAGACAAGGTCTTGCTAGGTTGCCCAGGTTTAGAATGAATTTTTAAATTCACAATTTTAAAAGAACATTCTATGGTCCAAAATCCTGTCCATGTGCATTTATAACATAATTTGTTTTCCATTCAGAAACTAGAACATCCTTTTAACCTAAGGTTATCTAATATTTTGAATCTTTCTACAATCATCAATATAATATATTTTCCCCAATGTCACATTATTCAGTGTTCTGGTTTCATTGTATAATCAGAAGTAGGTTTTAGATATGAAAATGATAACTTTGACCTACCAGGCCATTTTGCAGTTTCCTCTCTATCTCTTTTCCACATGTGACAATTTTAGGTTATTAGGGATTAAGCTTGGTGCTGTCCAGCAGCTACTCCCCCATGCTGTCAAGTGAGTGACAATAGTGTACAATGTAAATAGAACTCATAATCTGAATTATTCTGTCCAATTCAGGCCACATCAGTGATCCAAGTGAAAGATGGAAAATGCCTCCTCTCTTGGTGAGAAAAAAGAGTACATCAAATTCTACTCAGGTCATACAAAATCTCACAGAATTTCCAAGACTAGGAAATTAATATTTGACTCACCTGAATATAGAGCAAGAAAGCCAGCAGCATTTTCCTTATTATGAATTTACAGAATACCATGACAGTCAGTTCTGAATTCCTGCATTAACTACTCTTGGTCTTGAAGTTGTTTTGTTCTTTAGTTTTACTAAAATACCCTCAGGAGGATTAAACTTTGCTTGGTCAAATTCCAATTGTCATAACTTCTACATGCTACATGCCAACTTATGAATATTTAGCCTTCTCCTCATATTCAAACCCATCCAAATAAAGATGAGAACATAAAGAAATGTCCCCTAACAGGCATGATTATCCACTCTAAAGAAATGCCAGTGTCTATGGATTTGAGATATGAAATGTATTTAATATTTAAAAGACTTTAACAAGGTATGAACTTGCCTCTTCAATTAATTATATTGATTCAGGCACTTGTCTCTCTTTCACTTCAAACTTTTAAACAAAGCATCTCAAGCATTTCAATTTGGCACTGGAGGAGAGGCAGGCATTGGCTTAACTTGTTCAGAGGTGTGATCAGAAAGAAGCTTTAACAATGTGGGGAAAAAAAAAGCACAGTCAACTTCCATTATCTTACATTTGATGTTGCTGGTGCCATCAAGCAAACACTAAATGACAACAAGCAAATTCTGTTGAAATGTTTAGCTAAATGGAACCAAAACAGTCACAGTTGACAATTTCATAAATACATTAATTAGAAGTGTCTCCAAATAGCATGTGATTTTGAATTATTAACATAAAACACTGCATTATAAATGACTGCAAATTGCATTCCTAGTGTTTTCCATGCTTAATTTATTATGCCATAGGAAAATTTGCAAATTACTTTGTTGTTTTATATTCAATGGCTAGTTTATGTGTACATCTTTCATTTAAGATAAAATTAAACCACACTATACATACATGTCATGTGGCATGTTGGAGAAGATAATCTATAACTCAAAGTTGGGTCAAAAATGACAAGTCTCTCTTTCATATGAGTACTTTGCATTCACAGTGATTTGTTGTGAAGATTCCACAAGTTCCTGACTACCTTCCTCTGTCTCAATGCTCTCCTTTTTTCCCCAGGGATGCATTCCATCCATAATAATAACTAATTTTCTATAAACTGCCCAAAGCATGACTCTTCATCAGTGAGCACTTCTTGATACCATATCTATAAACATGTAGAGATTAAAATCTCTTAGTATGCAATAGCCAAGAACCTGGCCAAACTTAACCTTGATGGATGTTGTCACTCACAGTACAAATTATGAATATGTTTCTTCATTTGAATGAAATGGCCTGTATGAAAAATTTTAAATGTTGTAGTTCAACTATGCATATATTTTTCCACTCTGCATTTCTTATGATTTTCCTTTTTGCTTCACATTTATATTGCTATTTTATCCAAACACCTTCTAAATAACTAGTTTTTCACTTATGGTTGGTTTTGTTTTTAGGTGTAAAGCCCCTTTGTGAAATAACACTTAAAACCCATTAGCCCCAATCTAAATAGAGTAAGCCTTATCCAGATATATGAGAAATTAATATAGTATGAATCTTTAAGTTACACACAAACTGATTTACTTTTCTTTTAAGCATAAGCATCTAAGGAGAGGAACCTCTCCAGGTTCTTCTTTCTAACACAGCTTACTTCCCTTCTCTGGGGATATCAAGATGTTGATTTGCCCACATTTTAAATGAAGAGTGGCCACTATGGTTTAAAAGCCAAGCACTATACTGTGATTTCTTTTTTGGAGCAGAGGCAGAATCTCACTCTGTCACCCAGGCTGGAATGCAGTGGTGCAATCACAGCTCATGGCAGCCTTGACATCCCAGGCTCAAGTGATCCTCCCACTTCAGCCACCCAAGTAGCTGAGACTACAGGCATGCACCATCATGTCCAGCTAATTTTTAAATTTTTTTTTGTAGAGACAGGATCTTGCTATGTTGCCCAGGCCAGTCTCTAACTCCTGACAACAAGTGATCCTCCTGCCTTGGCTTCCCAAATTTGTGGAATTACAGTTGTGAGCCAACATGCCAGGCCAGATTCTATTCTTGTTGTTATATTCCATCAATGTTGCAGAACCATAAACTGAACTAATACTTTCCTCTCTTTGTTTTTAGATCCATTTGGTAACTGGTAGTATTATCCACCTTTTAGTTAGTGGAAGAGAGAACCCCTTAGGCCTTGTTTAGCATAGGCCATATGGTCCAACTCAATTTGCTGACGTTCTGAAGCAGAGATTCATGTACAAACCCAGCTAACGATGGAATGTTTTCTTTCAATATTAGTTCCAGGCAATAGACTATTCATTATACAATGTTTTATTGGTATTTTAAAAGAATTATGATTATTACACTAAAGGGTATAGTGGAAAGTGAGTAAAGTAGGTAAATTCCTCTCCCTAACAGATGAGGAATTTAAGAGTGAAATAGAAATAATGACACAAGAAAGTAATTATAAGGGATTGACAGACTAATCAACAGACTGAATATAGCTAAAGAAACAATGAGTGAACTTGAGGAAATGTCAATAGAAAATATCCAAACTAAAACACAAAGGTGTGTGATAAATGAAATGGTACCCAAGAGCTAACATGTGTGTAATTGGAGTCCCAGAAGGCAAAGAGAGAGAGCAGACAAAATAAATATTTGAAGTGATTATGGGCAAGAATTTTCCAAAATTAATGAAAGAAAATAATAATTTTAAAAGACAGCATCAAGAATTTCTGGGAACCTCAACACACACAAATAACAACAATTATGTATATTTTACATATAACAATATGTGTAAAAGTAACTGTATAACAAAAGTAACCCAAAGAATGGAAGTGAGGAACTAGAAATATGCAATTATAAGTCTTATACTTTGAGGAAGTATAATGCTATTACAAGAAATACTATGTTAAGCTAAAGATATATATCATAAATCATAGAGCAACCATCTCCTCAAAATAGATATAACTATACACTGAGTAGAGACACTAAAATTTGAGAATACTCAATTAATTCAAAAGAATAAAGAAAAAGAGGAAAAAGGAAACAAAAAAACAAGATAAAGAGCAGGCAAAAGGAAGAAGGAAGATTTAATAATTACATTTATGGAAATGGTCAGACATCTCAAAAGTCAGATATTCAGGTTAGATTTTTAAAAATCAAGATCCAACTTTACACTGCCTATAAGAAATCTACCTAAAATGTAACAACAGAGATCACAAGAGGTGAAAATATCATGCAAATACTCATTAAAAAAACTGAAGTGACTGTGTTACTATCAGGTCAAATAAACTTCAGAATAAGATTATCAGGGATAGAGACATGATGATGATTAATAAGACAATTCAAGAAGACTTAACATTCTTAAATATGTAGGCACCTAATAATAAGACCTCTAAATACATAAAGCAAAAACTAATAGAAAAAAAAGAAAAATCCACAATTAAGTTGAAAAGTTCAACACTTCTCACTCAGTAATTAATACAGAAAGTAGACTGGAAATTATAAGAATACAGAAGATTTGAAGAACACTATCAAAGAACCACCAAAATATACTCCATTATGGAATAATTTTGCTGATCAAAAACAACCACAATAACATAGAAAGGGTTGATTGCTACTACATTTTCCAATAATTTATTTACTTCATTTATTATAAAAATGTCCATGAGTATTATCTGGATATTTTTTGGGAATTGACTTTAGTCTAAAAGTTATCAAATAGAAGCACTTTCTCTGAGCTAGTTTATCTGGAATGAAAGTGGCTAGAAATCATCACATTAAGATATCCACCATATAACTGTATCGTATACATTTAAAATCACACCTAAAGCACTGCATTTTAATCTAGTTTTAAATTTACGTTTAGAAACTTTATTTCCCTAGTTAACAACTGAAAATTAATATGCCATAAGCCCTTGGTTATTCACCTGGAGATTACTGCTGTTAAGTTTGAGAGAAGCATTATTTAGGAGCATTATTTAAGTAACTTACAAGATAAGGTCTTAGAGATATTCATCCTACTATTTCCCTTATCAACACTAAAAGCTTTATACATTTTGAATATAAACATTAATTTCTATTTGCTAGTATAAAATTTTTTATTTACCCTGATTATCTATATTCCTAATTTCCATTTTGCTGTTGAAAGCACAGATGTAATTGTAAGAAACTAAGTCATCATAGGAATCTCTGAAATCTCAGAAAATCAGGCAGACTACAAGTTTTTAACGTTATTAAATGTATATTCAGAACAGTGTACTAGTGCCTCAAATGAATAAGGATCATAAAGAAATTACCTAAATCAAGATCCTCTAGCTTGATTATTATTTTCCCAGGGAAAGGAAAAAACTAGTTTGCTCTTTCCCTTCCAGGCCCAAACTGGATGCTACTTTTGAACAATTGACATAATTAAAAAACAGTAATTCATCATATTGTAGCAAGCACAGCAGACAAGATTCACAGATTTGCTCACATAATTTAACTTTTTTTACTTTTGACAATATTGTCAAGATGTTGTTGATTCTGAAATTATAATTTTACATTGGCTTTATCATCTAAGATTATTAGCAGTCTTTAAATGATTTTCAAAATCAATCTTATCTTCAATCATGCACTTCCTGGTGCCAAAAAGTAAGATCATTTCTAATTGATGACAGTTAGCTCAGTCATTTGTATACTTGTTTTCAATCTCATTACTGCACTGGTATCATTAAAAATGGCTATTCATTTCTCTACTAATTTCACTTCCCAAAATAGCATGTTTTCTACTAAGAAATGTTAGTAGAAATGTTACAGTTGCCCAAGTTTTCCCCACATATAACAAATGTAACACAGTAAATATGTATAGAATTCAATAAAGTTCTAAAATACAGTAGGTTACTTAACATTTTCTAATGCTATGTTTACAGTGTTGGGTTCAGCCGTTGGAATTAAAATTCACAAAGTTTTCTTCTATTACCAGTTGAAAATCAGTGGGAGGAACGTTTCTTCTTCCTGAGGCCAATCCCTGCTCCTGGGCTTTAGATTCCATCCTCTTACCTCCCATCAGCTTAGGACATGCCTTTATCAACCATTTCTTCCCTTCAGCAACCATTTTCTCTCTATATCTCCTTTCAGTATTGCCTTTTCTTCTTCATACATAACTTGTTTCAATCTTACACATCTGAGGAAACAAATAAAAACCTCAAATTTGAATTGCCATTTTCTTAATTTCTCTCTCCTCCTGTCCCAGCAGATCTGTTGTCTACATTCATTGTCCTTATTTTCTCATGTATAATTCTTGCTTAAATCCACTACAGTATACTTTCAACCTCACCACTCCACTAAAATTGCTTTTACCAAGGTGACCAATGAACTCCTGACTGCCAGACTTAATACATTTGTTTCTTTTAAATTTTTCTCTTGGAAGATTCCTCTGTGAATTTTACATTTGGCTATTTCTGATTTCCTGAGCTTCTCTACTTCCATGACTTCTGTAATAAACATTGCCTTCCAATTTCCCTACTCTTTCTGGCCAGTCCTATTCAGGGTCGTGTGTGAGCTCATCTTTCTCTGCCTGTCCATTAAACATCAGCAGTCACCCAAGCATTGCCACCATACTCTCTCCTTGGTTCTTTTCATCCTATCCACTTTCATTACCTCACCTATCAGTACTTTCACCTGGCTTTCTTATTTAAACTCCAGATCTCTATATTCATCTGCTCACTAATAATCTAAATTTGAAATCAATTAATTCAGAAGTGAACACATTCTCTTTTGTGCCTTACAGGTTCTGATCCAAAGTTCTGTTTCTTCAGGAATAATACCCTACCAACCCAGGTTCTCATCCTCCTGGGGTCATTCCCACCCACCCTGTTTAATTTTCTTTTGTGTACCTCTACCCTGTCTCCTTCTCTGAATCTCCACAGCCAACATCTTCACTTAGAGAGTTGATATATACCATCATCTTTCACCATGATTACCATGACACTCTTTCAATGGCTTTCACTGCCTCCGATCTTACAACATAAGAGTCCAGCTCTCTGCTTCCACCAGAAATGTAGTTTGACAAAATGCAAACTGATCATGTCACTTCCCCCATTTTATAATCCCTCAGTGGTTTCCTATTTCTTATAATATTTACTAAGAACTTCAAAGCCCTTAACAATCACCCTGTTAGGTTCTTCAGTTTCATCCTTCTTGGTGACCTTGAAGTTTCATCATTTTTGGTGACTTTGGAATGAATCCAAGTGTTCTACTTGCAATTACCCTAATATAATATATTATCTATATTCTCTATGGCTTTACATTTATTTTCCTTTCTATTTGAACTGCATTTGCCCTCTTCTCTAGCTTCTGTACCTATGTAAGTTAAACTCATCCTTCAAGAATCATCTCAGATGTCAATTACCCTACTGTCATATAACTGTTATATCATTGTCTATTTTCTCACTGGCCTGAAAATCCCCAATGTTCAAAAGATGTTTTATTTATCCGTGTGCACTTAGTGCACCTGCCACATAGTTGGTGCTCAAGAAATGACAGGAAAATGTATCAAAAATTCAAAAAATTGAGAAATCACAATTTATTAGCATGATCAGGAAAGTCCTTACGGAGAAATGAGATTTAAAGAGTAAGTATGATAAAGAGGAAATTTTGAAAAACTGCAATTTCATGGAAGGAAAAAGACTGTCCAGATATACTAGTTACAAATAGTGGGCTGCCCAATCAGACTCAAATGGCTTGATAAAAGGAGAAAGAGAAGTCTTGGAAATGTAATTGTTTACTGGAATGCCAAGGCAAGGACTTTAGAATCTGTAAGCCATAGGAAGGAACTACAGTTTTGTGACCAAGGAAGTGGTATGGCCAAAGCAAAGGCAGCCAAGCCTAACAGAGTATCTGGCCCACCTGGAAAAAAAAATTAACCACAAATTCCTGAGATCCACTCTAAGAGATGCTGATTCAGAAGCTCCCCAGGTGACATATGCATAGCTGGATTTGAGAACTGCCACCCTAAAGTAATTGTTTTTGAAGATTAATCTCATAGTAGGTAATAAATTTATTTTAAAATGCCCTCTTTGTTACTGATTTACCTTGATAACGGACTGAGTTATAGTGTTTGATAATCATTTACACACTTATTGCCAATCACATTTATCCATAAAGTTTTTTCAGGGAAAATAATGTTTAATTCATTTTTAAGCTTCTGAATCTTGGCATACCACATGGTATATATTTTGATCTAAACAAATTTTCATCAAATAATTGATAAATATCTTAAATGACATTAAAAATCACAACTAGTAGTTTCTAGCTCAAAATAGAGAAATAAACAGTCACCGTTTTTCTCCCATTTTTGACTCCACAAATGATAATTAAAAATATACTGTAGGTTGTAGGTATAAATAGAGAACTATGAAGAAAATGGGGAAAAGACCACAGTGGACAAGCGCTTTTAGTAAATTTACCTTCAACATAACTTGGATGTGGTAATATTAAAAGATGCATATCAAAATAAGCCATAACTAAAAAACAGCCAAAGGCATTTACAGCCAAGGAAGGATTCTACCCTTCTTTCCACCCTCCTGAATCAAAAGAAGAGTAAATTATGTAATTGGTAGGAATATATGTGAGCACATCTCTGAGTGGTCACTTTAGGAATTGGCCAGTCTATTGAAGACCTCCCACTCTGTTCTACGTGGAAGGAACACATATGTCCAAGCCTGGAAGCTTATCATTATTAAGACCCAGTGGCTGTGGGATCTTAAACTGGCTTGGTAAATGTATATCCTGTTTATAGGTTTAAATTGGGTTCAAATCTAGGCTTTTGGAGAACAAATAATAAAAAGCCAGTGCTGCCACAAGTCCAATCTACCACATGTCACCCAACTTTTTCAGGAATAAAGCTGATATTCTATCCCCAATATGATGTCTGTCTCTTTTTCAAGTGGGAGTGGTGGTGTTTATTTTAGCTATTTTTATAGCTTTTTTATTTAAAAAACTTTATGGATAAATGTGAGAGGTAATATGTGTGTAAATGATTATTAAACACTATAACTCAGTCTGTTATCAAGGTAAATCAGTAACAAAGAGGGCATTTTAAAATAAATTTATTACCTACTATGAGATTAATCTTCAAAAACAATTACTTTAGGGTGGTAGTTCTCAAATCCAGCTATGCATATGTCACCTGGGGAGCTTCTGAATCAGCATCTCTTAGAGTGGATCTCAGGAATTTGTGGTTAATTTTTTTTTCCAGGTGGGCCAGATACTCTGCTAGGCTTGGCTACCTTTGCTTTGGCCACACCACTTCCTTGGTCACAAGAAAGTGACCTTTTTCAAGAGACAGACATCATATTTCAAGAGACAGACATATTTCAAGAGACAGACATATTTCAAGAGACAGACGTTTTCAAGAGACAGACATCATATTTGGTTGTCTTATGTGGAGAAGAAAGTTATGGGGGAAAGGCATGCAAATGTAACCTCAAGGGGAGACTCCAGGAAGAGTCTTAGGAAGACACAGAGGAGGAAACACAGAATTAATACTGGAAGATTAAGTCAAAATCTTTATTTCTAAAATTATTAATAAACCCTCTGTCCTATCTCTTCCATCCAAATCAACAAGTTTCATGAAAATATATGGAGCACACATGCAACTATTTTTTAAATTTTATGTGTTTAAGGTATACAAAATAATATGTTGATGTACATACACATAGTATGATTATCACAGTCAAGCAAATTAACACATCCATCACTTCAAATAGTTACCTTTTAAATTTTTTTAAATTGACATAGTAATTGTATATATTTATGGGGTGCAATGTGATGCTTTGGTGTATGTATACATCATAGAATGTTTACATCAAGTAGTTAATATATATACCAACTTACATATTTACCATTTTTGGGTTGCAAACATTTAAAATTGTACACTTAGCAATTTTGAAATATGTAATACATTATTATTTACTATAATCACCATGCTGTGCAATAGATCTCTAAAGCTTATTCCTCCTGTCTAACTGAAACTTTGTTCCCTTCGACCAACATCTTCCTATTTCCCATTCTACCCTCGCTTCCACCTCCCAAAGGTTAGTTATTATGAACAGCACTGAAATATTTTTAATTTTTTGAAGAGCCTTTATATTATTTTCCAAAATGGCTGTATCAATTAATATTTTTACCAACAGTGTAGAAGAGTTCCCTTTTCTCCACTCTTGCTAACTCTTGTTATCTCTTATCTTTTTGATACTAGCCATCCTAATATGTTAGGACATATGAAAATATCTATTGTCTCATTCTTAAACAAATATGAGCAATGAAAGAATGCCAACTTGTTTAAAAATGACTAAATAATGATATACCTAGAAAAATGAACAGAAAAAGATTCCAAAGGAAACAAAAAGTTCAAAGAGCAGAATTTGATTTATATTATTAAATATTTCATTGGAATCCTCACAGATGTTTGAAAAGATATTTTATACATAAAACCAGGATTAAGTGCAATGGAAAACAAACAAACAAAACAAGCATGCCCAGAGAATAAGAAAAACATCTTAGAAATTTATAATAAGAAAGTTAATTTTTAAATTTTAGTATTTAGGCAAGAGAAAAAAGATGTATTTTTACATAAAAACCTTCGTACATAATCATCTAAAATTGGAAAATACCCAAATGTCCTTCAACATGTGAATTCATTCTAAATTACATCTAAACTGTGGTATGTCCATACAATGGCATGCTACTCAACAATAAAAAGTAACAAATTATTGATAATACAACAATATGGGTAAGATTTAAATGCATTAGGCTAAATAAAAGTAATCAGATTTAAATGTCTTTATACTCTATGATTCTATTTCTCGACATTCTCAAAAGGGCAAAACAATAGGAACTGAAAACAGATCTGTAGACCTAAGGGTAGAAGGAGTAGTTGACTACAAAGGAAAAAGGGAATTGTTTTTTTCTAATCCACATCTTCATTATAATGATGTTTACATTACTGTGTATGCTTGTCAAAGCTCATAGAACTGTATACTAAAAAGGGTGAATTTTACTACATGGAAAAGTATGACTTAATCAATCTGACTTTAAAAAATTTCAACAGAATAACTAAAAGATGAAGTTAAAAGCCTCCCCTAGAAATCAATAAAAATGACAAAAAGATGGAAATTAGACATTCCAAAGGATAGATATGATTTAGATTGTCAATTGTAATTCAAAATAAAATATCAGAGCTCTAAGTCTTGAATCTTCAGATTGAAAGAACAAGAAGAGATACATTTAAACATGTCATTATGAGCCTGAACATGCAGAGAACTGGAAAGAACATTGCTCCCATGGTTATAACATAAAAATAGCTGTACAAACTCTTCAAAATCAATAACTTTTATTGAACCCATTAAATAACTGAGTTTAGAGAAAGCAACAAACCTGTAATCTGAGGAAAGACAGAAATCTGCAGGGAGAAATAGAACCCAAGTATTTGCTAACCTAGGGGAGACACTGCTGGATATTGTATACAGTAGGTCCCTTTTATCCATACTTTCACTTTCCATGGTTTCAGTTACCCATGGCCAATTGAAAATATTATATGAAACATTCTAAAGATAAACAATTCATAAGTTTTAAATTGTGTGCTCTTGTAAGAAGTGGGACGAAATCTCATGCCATCCTGCCCCATCCCACTTGGAATGTAAATCATCTCTTTGTCCAGTGTATCCACACTGTCACTTAGTAGCTATCTAGGTTATCAGACCAACTGTCACAATATCACAGTGCTTGTGTTTAAGTTACCCTCATTTTACTCAATAATGACCCCAAAGCACAAGAGTTGTGAGGCCAGCATAGTTATAATTGTTTTATTTAATTATTAGTTATTATTATTAATCTCTTATCTTGACTAACTTTTAAGTTGAACTTTATCATAGATATATATATAGAGGTATATATATTTATCATAGGTATATATACAGGTATATATATATCAACAAATAGGTTTATAAGTATATAAAGTTTATACTTACACCTATACTTATACCTATATAGGCATGTGTGTGTATATCAGAATATGTGTGTGTGTATACACACACAAATGTATACATATAATATATATGTGTGTGTATATATATAGGTATATATGTACAAATTTTACAAATTATATCATAGGTATGTGTATATATATGTTCCATATATATATGCAAAAAACACAGTGTGTGTGTCTGTGTGTGTGTGTGTGTGTGTGTGTGTGTGTGTGTGTGTGTGTATGATTAGGTACTATCCATGCTTTCAGCCATCCACTATGGGTCTTGGACTCCAGCCTGGGCAACATAGTGAGACTCTGTCTCAAAAATAAAAATGAAAATAAATAAACTAGATAAGTAAGAAATTGTGGCCATGAGGGTAAATGAAGTTGAAAAGATAATAGGATCAAAACACTACATAGGTCTCAATGGGTTAGTGGAAATCAGAGTACTATAATAGATGGAGTTGATTTTAGCTCTCTATAGTCAACCCATAGACAAGAGTTACGTGACAAAGTTTTAGTGTCAAGAACTTTGATTATATAAAAGTAAAGTTAGAGTTGGAGAAATATTGAATTTGTTAGAGGGATATAAGCTGGAAAGAAGACTAGATGTGGTTCACAATACAAAATAAGGAGTCAAGAGATGCTGCCTATGGAAGAAGAAATGGAAACTAAAAATGTAATCTAAAATTGTAGTGGTAACCAGTATAAAAATACTAAATAACTAAATTGAGAGGAAAGAGGAAGCAAAGGGTGTGCTGTAAGAAAGTTAAATCTTTATTTATCACAGCAGTAAATAAACAATATCAAAAGTTAATAAATTAAAAATAAAGACATATAAGCAAATGTAGGGAAAAGTAATCCAGGAGGATATAATTATTATCTTGGGCAAAATGTCTGAGAGTGTAACTAAAACCAGCATTTGTTCTGGAAGAGGAGAACTAACGGAGAGGGTAGGTAAAAGAGGAATGATATTGTTTTTGATGAAAATGTCCTCTGCACTATTTGAGTTTTAGTAATGTGAAGGCTTTTTATCAAAGCCCTTACTTTGATGGAAAAAAATTAAAAATTAACAGCCAATGCTAACACTAATCCCAAGAATGCAGAAGTAGTTATATTAATTTCAGACAGAGCAGACATCAGAGCATGGAAACTTATCGGGGATAAACAGAAACATTACATGATGATAAATGAGTCAGTTATCTAAAAAGATATGGCAATCCTTAATGTTCATGTGCCTAACAACAGAGCATTAACATACATGAGGCAAAAACTGATAGAATTGCAAGAAGAAATTATGAATTCACTATTATAGTTGGATATTTCCACAATCCTCTATTAGAAATGTACAGATGTGGTAGGCAGAATATCAGTAACTCAACAACACCATCAATAACTGGGTATAATTAAAATCTATGGACTACTACATGCACTGACAGTAGAAAACACATTCTTCCCAAGATCACATGAAACATTCACCATGATAGACTATACTCTGGGCCATAAAATACACCTTAACAAATTTTAAAAATAGAAATTATACATTGTCTGCTCTCAAACCACAGTGGAATTAAACTAGAAATATATAACAGAAAGTTGGAAAATCCAAAATATTTGGACACAGTTCTAAATAACCCCTGAGCCAATGAAGAAATCCTCAATAAAAATAAAAAATATTTTGAACCAAGAAAAACGAGAATGCCACTTATCAAAATTTGTGGGGTACAGTAAAAGCAGTGTTTAGAGGGAAATTTGTAATATTGAATGAATATAATAGGAAGGAAGATCTAAACTCAATCATCTAAGCTCTTACCTTAGGAAATTAGAAAAAGAAGAGCAAATTAAATTTAAAATCAGCAGAGGGAAATATAGTATAAAATTAGAGCAGAAATCAATGAAATTGAAAACAGGAAATCAATAGGGAAAATTAATGAAATCAAAATCTAATTTTTTTAAAGATCGATAAAATTGATACAGCTTTAGCTGGGCTAAGTAGAAAAAAAGAGCAAGGAGGCAAATTGTTAATATCAGAAATGAAAGATGGGACATCACTACAGATCTCATGGACACTAAAAGGATAATAAAGAAACACAAGGAAAAATTCTATGCCCACAAATTGAAAATCCTTGATGAAATGGACCAATTGTTTGAAAAATACAATCTTCCAAAACTCTCACAAGAAGAAATAGATAATCTGAGTAGGCCTATGTTTATTAAAGACAATGAATCAGTAATCAATTACCTTCAAAACAGAAAGTACCAGGCCCAGATGGATTCACTGATAAATCATATCAATATTTAAGAAAGAAATAATGTCAATCATTTGCAATTACTTTTAGAAGAAGGAAGCAGAGGAAATACTTCCTAATACATTCTTTGAGGCCAGCATTACCTAATATCAAAACCAGACAAAAACATTACAAGAAAACTACAGACAAGTGTCTCTCATGAACATGGATAAAAAAATCCTCAACAAAATTTAGCAAATCAAATTCCATAATATATAAAAAGAATTATACAACACAACCAAGTTGGATTTATTCCAGGTATCCAAGGCTGGTTCAACATTCAAAAATTAATATACTCCATCTCATTAACAGACTAAATAATAAAAATCACATGATCATATCAATAGATGCAGAGAAAGCATTTGATAAAATTAAACACCAATTTATAATAAAAACTCTCAGCAGACTTGGGATACAGAGAAATTTCCTGAACTAGACAAAGAATATCTACAAAAATCCGACAGCTAACACTACACTTAATCATGAGAAACTTGAAATTTTCACACAAGATCAAGGAGAAGACAAAGACATCCCCTTTCACCATTCCTTTTCCACATCACATTGAGAGTCCTAACTAATGAAATAAGAGAAAAGAAAAGAGAAAAAAGAAAAGAAGAAAAGATTATAGTGACTAGTAAGAGAAAAATATAACCATCTTTGTTCTTAGATGGCATGATTACTTATGTAGAAGATATTTGAAAAGACAACAACAACAACAACAACAAAAAACCTTGCTGGAACTAATATGTGATTACAGCAAGGTTGCAGGGTACAAGGTTAATATACAAAAGTATAGGCCAGCAATAAAACAAATGGAATTTGAAATTAAAAACATAATACCATGTACATTAGCACCCCCAAAAGTGAAATATTTAGGTATAAATCTAACAAAATATATACAAGATCTATATGAGGAAAAGTATAAAACTGTTGAACAAAATCAAAGAATAAGTAAACAGAGATATATCATGTTCATGGATAGAAAGACTCAATTTTATCAAGATGTTCATTCTTTCTCATTTTATCTATAGATTTAACAGTTCCAGTAAAAATACTAGTATGTTACTTGGTGGCTGTCAACAAAATGATTCTAAAGCTAAAGACCCAGAATAGCCAACTTACATTGAAGGAGAAGAACAAAGTCAGAAGACTGATACTACTCAAATTCTAAGACTTACTATAAAGCTACATAAATCAAGACAGTGTGGTATTGGTGAAACAATAGACAAACAGATCAATGGAACAGAGTAGAGAGCCCAGAAATAGACCCACATAAACATGGTCAACTGATCTTTGACAAAGGCAATGCAATAAAGCAAAGATTGTCTTTTCTGCAAATGGTGCTGGAACAACTGAACACTGACATGCAAAAAAGAAAAAAAGAATCTAGACACAGACACACACTTTTCAAAAAACTTAACTGAAAATATTTCGCAGACCTAAATATTAACCAAAAAAGCATAAAACTCCTAGAAGATGACACAAGAGAAAACCTAGATGACTTTGCATATGATAATTATGTTTTAGATACAACATCAAAGGCATGACTTAATGAAAGGAAGGGTTGATAAACTGGATTTTATTAAAATTAAAATTTTCTGCTCTGTGAAAGACACTGTCAACAGAATGAAAAAAATAAGTTACAGACTTGGAGAAAATACTTGCAAAAGACATCTGGTAAAGGACAATTATCCAAAATATGTAAAGAACTTAAAACTCAACAACAAGAAAACAAGCAACCTGACCAAAAATGAGCCAATGGACTTAATAGACAACTCATCAAAGAAAATATACAGGTGGCAAATAAGCACATGAAAATATGCTACATATTATATGTCATCAGAGAAATGCAAATTAAAATACTGAGACACCACTACATACCTATTAGAATGATCAAAATCCAGGACACTAACAGCACCAAATGTGGAGCAACAGGAACTCTCATTCATTGCTGGTAGAAATGCAAAATGGTACAGCCACTTTGGAAGACAGTTTGTCAGTTTCTTACAAATTAAACACACTTTTACCATATAATGCAGCAAGCTAGCTCCTTGTAATTTATTCAAATGAATTGATAACTTATGTCTACAAAAAAAAACCCCACATGCAGAAAGTCATAGAGATTTTATTTGTAATTGCCAAAACTTGGAAGCTAAGATGCCTATCATTAGGAGAATGGATAGATAAACTATGGTACACCAAACGATGGAATATTACTCAACGCTAAGAAGGAGCTATCAAGCCATAAAAAGACACAGAAAGATCTTAAATGCATATTACTAAGTGAAAGAAGCCAGTCTGTAAAGACTACATACTCTGTGCTTCTAACTATATGATATTCTACACTACAGAGATAGTAAAAAGCTTAGTGATTGCCAGGAGAGGGAGGGATAAACAGAGCACAGAGGATATTTAGAGTAGTGAAACTGCTCTATATGACACTATAATGGTGGATGCATGTCATTACACATTTGTCAAAACTCCTAGAATGGGCAACACCAAGAGTGAACCTGATATAAACTAAGGACTTTTGGATGTACATCTCTGATGGTGAATGTTAACAGAGAAAGCTGTGCATGTGTGGAGACAGAGAGCATATGAAAAACCTCTGGCCACTTGCTCATTTTTGCTGTGTACCTAATCTTTAAAAAAAAGTCTATAAAAAATTTATGGCCTCATTAATTAGCAGTCAGATCCGGTGATTCAGCTGAACTTTTATCTTAAGTATGTAGAAAAGAGCACATTTTTTTTTTGATGTTTGAAAAAAATTGTTCTTTTACCTGGGAACCAAAAGAAAAAAAATGCTGGATTTACAATCTTATTCCTCTAGTCTCCTTTAAAAAAATCCAAAGCCATAGTCTTCATATCTAAAGTTTCCAATTTTACTTCTAATTCACAAGGAGTGTGAGGAAAGGTTTTTAATTCTTTTTAAGAAAAAAAAACTACGAATTTTTTTTAGCAAATAGATTTTGCCCATAAACATTTTGATGAGTCCCATAAACATTTTGATGAGTCCAGTGGAAACAAACCAAAAATAGCCTCCCCCAGAAAAATGTGGTTTGCGGGGGAAAGTGCTAGAAAAACACATCTTGCTTTTCCTTATTGCAAAATATTTGAAAAAGGATTTGTAACTTCGTTGAATGTGCAGAGCAGATAAACATGCTTGATTTAGTAGACAAGAGACTTCTTATATTCCTATCCACATCATGTCACAAAGAGTCTTTCTGGAGACAATTTATCTCTTCTGAACCCCACAAGAATGCTATATTGTCTCCCAAATCTACTAAAACATTTGACCTAGTTTTTTGTCATCACCACTTTCAGATCTTTCCTGTTTTCTAAACCCCTATTCCAGCCACTCTCCCATCTTGCTGCCTTCAGCCCCTGACTTCCAGGTCACTCCACATTGCTCCTATAACTCCCAGCTCATTCTCAGTCTCTAGCTCCACTCCTAGTCATCACCTTTTCAGTATTCAGACCTCTCCATTCCTTGTATTTCTCTTGATCTTGTCCTCCACCTTACCTCCATCACACATTGCCACTGTACCCTCATCTTGTCCTTAGCAATAGTTGCAATGACTTTAATCTTTATTATAGCTTCCACTCTCTTACCATAAGCTCCTAGCTTTTCCATTTATTCTCTGTAACAGACCCAGTTCCAATAATTTTAAACCACATTTGGATATTGATATATTAATTCTATCAGTGCCCATTCTTCCCTCTACTAAAATTTCATGGTCAGCCATTACGAAGTAACCCCCTTGTATACACCCTGAGTTACTCAACCCCTCTCACATTTTAAAGTGCTAGCTTGACAAATCACAATCCTGATTAAATCCAACTCTCCTCTCATTATAGGCCTAACTTAGTTGAAGTGAACCACAGAACCATGATGCCAGGACTTACGAACCTCAAGTGAGCCCTGAATTCAGCCAGAAGTTGTACATTTCCCTAGACCACAGTCTTCAGTTTACTCTTCTCTTTCTTCTCTTGTTCACACCTGCAATACCTCATCCCCTGTTCTTACTCTCAGCAGCTGATTCGACTTTCTCTCAGAAAATTGAAGCAACCAAGGGAAATTTCGCCATCTCCCACCACATCTATCAACCTTCCACAGTCTGTGCCACACCTCCCACCTTCCTGCTTATTACTGTGCTCCCCTCTAGAACCCACCCCCCTACCTGGTGCCCTCTCACTCACTCAGGAATGCCAACACTCCAGCAATTTCCCCATCTTAATTTCACATCACATTTTGTCTTTAATGGATAGTTCCCATCAGCATGTAAAATCACTACTATTTCTCTCACCTTAAAATCAAAACCATAGACATCTGCTCCTACCTCTACTTGTCCCACCAGCTCTTCTCCTCAATAATCTCCACTTCTCTATTCCCATTGACATTTATACTCAAATATGTGTCTAGAATGACCAACAAAAAGAGGAGAAGTGGGGAAAAGTACAAATGAATATATTAGGAAATTTCACTACTCACATTGCAGATGTTTTAAAAAATATTATAAGCAATTTCATATATAAGTGTGAATTAGATGAAGTGGATGCATCTAATTCTAGATGAATTAGGGAGGATAATTTAGATGAAGTAGATAAATTTCTAGTAAAAATATTAATTGCAAAACTTGATTCAAAAAGAAATAGTAAATATAAATAAAACAATAGCCTTTAAATAAATTGAATTCGTAGGAAAAACCTTCATCATATGCCCCCACCAAAAAAAACCAGCAGATGCAAATGACTTAATAGAACAGTTTCATAACACCTATAGGAACAGATAATTCCTATACCAGCTATCCAAGTGACTATGAGCCCAGTATTATCTTGATAACAAGATATGATGTAGTCAGTATGAGAAAAGAAAATTGCGAACCAATCTCACTTAGATTTCTTTTTTAATCCTAAAAAAGAAATAGAGTCCGAAGCACACACACTATGTCCAAGCAAGGAGATAGTCTGATGGCTTTCCCCGCTATTCCTTTTTGAAGAGATATTTTAACTGATGTCTGCTTTGCTTCCAGAGTCCTTACTCTATGGAATTAGGTTTTAGAACTGGCACTATAAGAAAACTTGCATTATCTCCATGCATGTTAAGAAAATATATTTACAATGTTTTTCAGCTTACAAAAGGATGTTAAGATTAGCTAGCCAGTATTGTGACATTGAGTCACAATGTTCAGGAGCTAGCCAGTACTAGCTCATACAGAGTGTATTTTTGAAAATTTCCCACGTTCCTGATGTTCCTGAATGAATAAGCATGGTCAGTCTGATTAGTAAATTGGCTTCAGTTCATTATACATTCTGGAGAAGGTTGTACCTCAAAAGTAGCCACTTGATATTATTTTGTGTTAGGCTCTGAAAGTGGCTGGCAGAGGGTCTTACACACATGAGATCCAATAAATGTTAGATTTTGTTTGTTTCAGTTGGTCTCAATTTACAACTTAGGGGAATTCAAAATAGGGAACAAGCCTAACCCTTGCACATGGACCAATCAAATTGAGCCTTCCTAGCAGTAGGCATTTTTATAAAGTGAAAAGAGGCAAATTATTGAGATCATGGACAAAGAAGAATGGGACACCAACCCTTTGTGACCTCTCACCTCCATGTCAAGCCTCACACCCAAGGTCCCAAGACAGCAGAAGTTCATGGACCAGGAGGCCCTCAAAGGAGATGAGCCTCTACCAAGTCTATTGTCTGGGAAGAATTGAAGACCATTGTCAGAGCCTCATCTGAGAAGGAAGAAGATGCCAGTGTGTTAGGCAGACCTCACAGCTAAGGCTCAGATTCTACAGGTTCCCTCCCCTTGCTCTTCTCCATCAAAACCAGGGTCTACCTCTCATTGATTTATCTTCCCAAGTGGCTAGTTGAAAGAGTGAGGCAGGAGAGAAGAAAACACTCTTATAATCAAATCTTGCACACCCATAGAAAGCTATCTCCATTACAGAGTACATTCTGAGGCCTAAATGAGTTCATAGCTCTCATATTGTCTTTTCCCAAGATAATCACATCAATGGCCTTTAAGAAAATTTCAAATTCACCTTTCTTCATTCTTAGTTTTTTCCCATGACTTCCTTTTAGAAACCAATAATAAATTGAGGTGGCCCTTCTCAAAATGGGATACCAGTCTGCATATGCAGCTATTCTTTGAGATAAGTCATTTCTTAATCATTAGAACATCAAAATATGGAACTTATTCCTGTAGTCAAAGATCTGGGGTGAAAACATTTAAAATTACAAGAAGCATGAATAAATTGTTAAATAGAACGAAAAATTCACATTAATTGTTAAGATAAAATATTAGTCTCCAAAAATATATTTTATCTCTGTAGCAGCTGGTATCTGACTGCAACCAGCTCCCATTCTTTGCTCCCTTTTCTCTGCCATTGAGAATTCTTCAAGATTACTTCAGTAGAAAAGTCTGAGAAGCACTGTTTATGGTAACATCTTACAGTGAATGTGAGTATTGAAGTTTTGCCTTATAACCTAAGACATTGTGGAAGATATCTGAAAATCTAAAGATCAAATAGCTTTTAGCCTTTGACTAGTCCTGAGTTTGGGGGTCTTATGTGAGCTTGCATCTTAATTTCTGCATGTTGATCTCTGTGAGAAAGTTCTTAGCTAATCTTGAGCCTCTCTACATATGCATATGCACAGTTTTAGACACGTTTCTCTCTCTCTCTCTCTCTCTCTCTCTCTCTCTCTCTCTCTCTCATGCAAGCACAAACACACACACAAACAGTGAGAGACAATACTTGGGACAATAGGCCCAAGGGGCCAAATGTAGAATTTCAGGAGCTAGGTTCCCACAAAACACTCTACTGAAGATAGAGATGACTTATAGCTAAAGATGAGGCCTAATCTACTTGGTCCTATAAGCTTTCAAAAATGTTTTCCTTCCTGTTTCAGCTCATCTGCCCAGCTTCTAAGCATCCATGTCCCCCTGGGCTTCAAAGAGTCCTTACTGCAACAGCTACAAGGACTCCAATTGTCTTATTTTCTACGCTTCATCTCAGTTTAAAACTCACTCATTGAGTGATCCATTCAATTACATTGCTTTCCTCATGCCTGGTGACTATGCAAGGTAATATTTTGTTTTGCTTTGTTTGTTTGCTCGTTGTTAAAATAACAAACATGCTAATCTTACTGATGTCCATATTTATTTGTGGCCATCTTAGAGTGCTATGATTATCAAAATGAAAAGAAAGGACATACCTATTGTAAGCTGTAGAAAGATGAATCAAAATCTCTGGCATGATGTTAAGAATTGGAGGTAGAGGCAGTGGCATTCTCTTGAGCCCAAGAAGATTCTGAATCACATGTCATTCTCTTGAGCCCAAGAAGATTCTGAATCACATGTCATTCTCTTGAGCCCAAGAAGATTCTGAATCACACTAGGGTGAAATACTTTGCCCCACTCTCCACTTCTATTCTTTATGGAAAAACAGTACATACTATGATTAAGGTTCCTGATGAGTGTATTTGCCCATTTAAATAATGTGAAGGCAGAAAAATTAAAAGTTGTGAATGAAGCCAATAAAATATTGAGCACTTCAAACATTGATTTTCTGTTGGTATGTCATAATTGCATATGAGTTACAAAGGCCAGGCATTTAGTGGTTGCTGAATAAATATTAGATGGATTAATTCTACCCAGAGTTAAATAGAATTTAAACCCAGTAATGAACCTATCAATAAACATAAAAGCAAACCAAAATTGGCAAAGTTAGCATAGTAGGGAACCAAACCAAAAACTAGAGCCATATCATCTGAAAGAAATTGTTAAAGTGGCTCTGGTCACCACACAATACACCATGCCACACAACCTCGGATAAAGAAGCAGCACAGTCATAGAGTCAAACGGAAATGGGTTTCAGGCCAGGTGAGATGGTGCACACCTGTAATCCCAACACTTTGGAAGGCCAAGGAGGGAGAATTGCTTTAGGCCAGGAGTTCAAAACCAGTCTGAGCAACATGGTGAGACTTTACATCTACAAAATAAAAATAAATTAGCCAGGCATGGTAGTGCAATTTGGGAAGCTGAGGTGGGAAGATCCCTTGAGCCCAGGAGTTCAAGGCTGCAGTAAGCTATGATAGAACCATTGCACTCCAGTTGTGGTGTAACAGGGCAAGGCCCTGTGGAAAGAAAGAAAAGGAAGAAAGAGAAGGAAGGAAGGGAATGGAAGGGAAGGGAGAGAGGGAGGGAAGGAAGGGAGGGGAAGGAAAGAACAAGAAAAGAAAGAAAAAGAAAGAGAAAGAAAGAAGGAAAGAAGGAAAGAAAGAAAGAAAGAAAGAAAGAAAGGAAGGAAGGAAGGAAGGAAGGAAGGAAGGAAGGAAGAAAGAAAGAAAGAAAGAAGGAAGGAAGGAAGGAAAAGAAAGAGAGAGAGAAGGAAGGAAGGAAAGAAGGAAGGAAGGAAGGGAGGGAGGGAAGAAAGAAGGAAGAAAGAGAGAAAGAAAGAAGAATGAGAAAGAAAAAGAATGAAAGAAGGAAGGAAGGAAAGAAAGAAAAAGAAAGAAAGAAAGAAAGAAAGAAAGAAAGAAAGAAAGAAAGAAAGAAAGAAAGAAAGAAAGAAAGAGGAGAGAAGGAAGGAGGGAAGGAAGGAGTTTCAGTGAAACTCTGATGGATGACTTCTTTTTTTCCCGCTGTCTCTGTCTGATTGATTGAGAATGTAGGCTCCTTCATGGGGCTTAGACTCCAAATTTGCCAGATCTCGAAGTCTACTATCTGCTTGCTAGAGTTTGGATATGGTTTGTTTGCCTTCAGCAAATCTCATGTTGAAATTTGATCCCAATGTGGGAAGTGGGCCTAGTGTGAGAACTTTTGTACCCTGGGGGTGGATCCCTCATGAATAGATTAATGCCCTCCCTTGCGGGTAAGTGCATTTTCACCCTATTAGTTCCCAGGAGAGCTCATTGCTAAAAACAGCCTGGCACCTCCCTCCTCTGTCCTGCTCACTCTCTCACCATGCGATCCCTGAATAATCCAGCTCCCCTTTACCGTCTACCTTGAGTGGAAGCAGCCTGGGGCCCTAACCAGATGCAGATGCCTAATCATGAACTGTCCAGCCATCAGAAACAAGAGCCAAATAAACTTTTTCTCTATAAATTATGCAGCCTCAGGTATTCCTATATAGCCACACAAAATGGACTCAGATGCTGCCTTCATCAATCACTTTCTCTTGCCATGTTATCTGGGTAAGCAGCTTGACCTGGAGCCAAATAGATTAGGGCAAAAAAACCAACTGAGAATATCCTCCTGTTTCTATGAACCTGAGTAGGTGAACTGTGTGGGGGCAGGGTGAGGAAGGAAAATTTTATTTTGTTTTAGATTCTTGATACAGGTGATAGAGTCAGTGCTCAATACCAACTGCCCCTGATGGACAAAGCTAAGCTGAGGTAGTGGATTCCTGTGAGACAAGGGCCTAGACTCTGTAGAGGATTATCAGGAGAATGGCCATCTCCTATCATTTTAATTCTACTTGAACTTTGTACGCAAGAAGCTACTCATGCAAAGAACATCTCGCAGTGGTGCTTCAACCCAAGGCAAGTTGAGAGGGACAATACCAAGGCATGCAGAGGGCCTTATGCACTGTTGGTGTGTTTTGGGTTTTTGGTTGTTGTTTTTGTTTTTTGTTTTTTGTTTTTATTTTTCATTTTCTATTGATGCTGTTGGATGTTTGCTATCTCTTTGACTCTCAACCTCTTAGGTATTAAATCAACATTGTCTTACATCTCAATTGAGATCTTCCCCCATGGTCTGTGCGGCTAAGGATATGTTTACTCTTGCAAGTTCCAGTAAGACTATTACCCTTTTAAAGGAAAAAAGTTAAGTTTGTGCATTGCTTTCATGAGCTCTCCCCAAATTTTTGCTTCCCCACCAATTGATTCTCCTCTATTTCCACTAGCAAAACATCAAAGTTTTTTTAAGTTTAAGGGAGTTTCCTATAAAAATATAAGATTTCAGGGAGGAGTATGCTGCAATATATTTTAGCCATTTTGACTTGCTTTGCTTTCTAAGAGCTGAAGAATAGGATTTCATTAGTTGAAGAAAAGAGAAATGAGATATTCAGCTCTATTGAGGAAGAAGCAGAAGAGGGCAGTCAGATTGGTGGATAGTCAGTGATGAAAATCTATCTCTTATGACCCAAAGAGAATGAAAATATATATATCTAAGAGGGTTGGTACAACCAAACCTCTAATATACCATGCAGGGTATTACTCCCAAGAAAACAGAACATGCCTAAGATATACTCTCAAGGTCAAGTCATGAATACCATTATAAGTTTTGTTTTATTTTGTTTCAAATCACTGTACACAATGTTTTAGACCCATTACAACAGAACAGTATCCATAACAACCAATACTTACTGAGCTAGGTTCTTCTAGTAAGTTACCTTCTAGGAATAGATCCATGTACTCTGAGAATTCTCATTAATTCTTTTAGACCATGAGGGTCTCCTTAGATGAATTTCCAACTCAATATATTAAACAGTACCCAGGTGGCTTTACAAAATACTCAACCACTCATACAAGGCAGCGTATTGTCCTAGGAGAATCTGTCTTGTTGATCATTCACCTTGTGTCATACATTATATCAAAACTGGCATTGCATAATTTTAGGTGCTTGTATTATGTTAAAGTCTCATAACCAAACTAAAATACAAAATATTCACACCTACTCACACATACACATACAACATACTAGGCACATATTGAAAACAGCTTTTTCATATTCCTTCAAATGTCATCTCCAGATGTAAACAAAGCAGGAAACTGCATCATTCTAAACAAAATAAAAATCTAAAAAATTCTCATTTTCTTATCCTCACATTCTCCCATTCGGGCACATATTCAAACCAAAGCACTTAAGCTTTGTACGTCAATAGACTGTATACCACATTTTCGTGGAAGTATCCATACAGCCTGTACTCCTCTCCTTTCCTTTGCAGTTCACTTAAGAGCCTACCATCAACTTTTTGTGGTAGTACATTCACAGTAACAGAATATAGTAGAGAAAGTCTCTGCCCAGAGATGCTTTCTTCTTTGCCAGTGTCAGACCTACTACACAAGCTCTTTGAATTGTGCAACCCTGCATAAGCATTTGCTGCTGTTAATTTACTCTGGAATCTGCCCTTAACTCTTTTCTGTAATGCATTTTTCTCTCCATTTCCTTGCTCTCTTTTCCACTCTCAGGTGAGTTTGTTTTGATGTAATCTCCTTTTTCCCATTTTCCCATTCTTTCCCTCCTGAAAATGTGGTCCATTCTTTTGCTGAGAAATATAATTACCAACTAGCATACAAATATATGGCCATGTATGTTCTAAAGGAACAGCTGCAAAATTGCTAATATTAGGTCTAATTTAGCGACAATAAATTAGCAAATGTGTGGAAGCACAATGATGACAGCGTACTTATAACAAAAGTCGATGTGTTGAAGTATATGGATGACAATACGTACTAATTTTAGAGAGAAGAAAAGAACCCTAAACCAAATGAAATGCATGCGATGAACAGACGGGACTAATAGCTCAGACACATACACTTAATGTGGCCAGTCACTGTAAAAACAAAAAGATAGATGAAGCTGTTCAAAAATCTAGCTAACAAGCAATGTAGTCTGAAACCATTAACTGTCAGGGGTAATAACACTCAAAGTGCTGAAGTGCAGTAAAGCAGCCACACTTCCCTGGGATGGAGGCTGTTGTACCAGTGCACACCTGTGAAGAGGGCGCTAAATCTATCCTTGCATTCATTATAACAGAGAGAGGAAAAACAACACTAATAATGTAAAGTATAAAAGGAAATAGCAGACAGCAGAGAGTGACATTTGCATGGTCCCAGTCAGCTTGTTAGCTGAAGTGGGTTTTAATTAGCTATTTTCCAGCAAGCAAACGAGCAAATTAGTGGCAGCTATAAACAAGAAGAGACAATCAGGCCCAAAGAAAAGGAGAAAGGATCAGGGTGTCTTTGCAGGGAGTGGAAAGGAGAGGGCGAGGAAATACAAAGGTTTTACTTGAGACTTTTCTCCATCACAGAATTAATGTTTTCTTTTGAAAATTCCTTAGAGATGATCCAGTCCTTTCTTCTTTTTCAGGTAAGGAGACTGAGGTCCACAGAGGTTCGCTAATTTGTCCCAGGTCACACATCACATCTAAACATAGCTATTAAAAGGGACAGGGGACATTTCCAAGTCTAGTTTTCTTTAAGAAAATTGTTTTTGAACTATTTTGAGTGGATCAATTCCTTAAAAAAAAATTGAAATATTTTGAGTGGGTCAACTCCTTAAAAATACAAAGAATTGTGAAACCATTTGCAAAACATACATGATAATTTAGGGATATGACTGGTTATAATTTGGAGTCCAACTATGATAAGACATAAAAAAAATGAGAAATAATATTACAAATAGGATAATAACACTTTCATACAGCCAAAGGTACCTTTTGATAAACTCTAAAGAAACACTCATCATGTAGTGAATGAGTGCCTATTATATAGGAGGCACAGAATTAAACCTAAGAATATAACTTTTGCTGTTTGGTAGATGTGCAGACAAGTAAAAAGACATTACACAACAATGGGATGCAAACCTTGATGCAACAAGAGGCAGTGCTGAGGAGCCCTCCAGAGATGCTGCTAAGCTCATGGAGAAAGTCACAACGGGACAAGCTTTTGAGAGGAAGGGCCATCAAAGCAGAATATGAAGCATGCCCAAGAGAAGCCAGCTCTCTCCCAAGTCCACAGCAAGCAAGCACGTATGTGCTCAAGACAGTCATATCTGTAAAAAGAAAATTCAAAAAACTAGTTATCCCACTGGACTAGATAAGAGGACCCCCAAACGCTCAAACACAAAGAAGCTCTTTATATAGTTTTCATTATCTAATTTCATCTAATTTACAACCTGACATATGTTCTTTAAAAAGAATAAAGTAATTGGGATAAAGGGAAAATCTTGGAGCAGGGGATAACAGAAGTCAGTAGACTTATCCCTTTCTATCATAAATCTGACTGATATATTAAGAAGATTTAAGCAGATTAAAGTATGAGATAACCCAAATAGAATACAGAGGGGGAAAAAAAACAGCCAGGACAAGAGACTGAAGCAAATACTACCACAGATGTTTGTCACTGCTATAGATAATGAACACAAGGACAGTTCATATGAAAGGGACTGAGAAACTAGGGGCTATATTTACGAAGAGGCTTCAATATCATTATCTTCATAGTTTGCACGTACAGAATTATGATTACGTGGAGATTCTGCGTAGGACAGAAAATTTGGCTTGCATATGACTTCACCATCCACAGAATGGCTTCAAATATGAGACAGATAAAAAAGATGGATAGACACAGGAAAATGAAAAAAGTAGCTGTCCTCTCTCAGCTAAATGAGATAAATATGTAGTGTCATTAATCGTTCGTTCATCCAACAGACATTTATGGAGCTCATACTATATGTAAAGCATTGGATTAGACCCTGGGCATATAGACATGAATGACTTTAAAGATGATTCTGGCATGTCTGATTTCTCTCCCACAGGTCAGATCTTTAAGCTGTAGAAGACACGCTTCTCTAATTCTTCTTTTCCTAATGCTAAATGACCATATTTAGTTCATCTTTTTTCATACAATATTTCCAAATGTCTCCAACCTCCTTTCTCTAGTCTTCAGGAGATTGTTTCTATCCTATCAAAAGCATGATGTTCAAAAATTCACAAGTGGGACCTAACTAAGCTAGAGAGCTTCTGCACAGCAAAAGAAACTATCCATCAACAGACAACCTACAGAATGAGAGGAAATATTCACACACTATGCATCCATCAAAGATCTAATATCCAGAATCTATAAGGAACTTAAACAAATCAACAAGTAAAAAACAAATTACGCCATTAAAAAAATAGGCAAAGGACATGAACAGACATACTTTTCAAAAGAAGACATACAGGCAGGCTACAAATATATGAAAAAATGCTCAACATCACTAATCATCAGATAAATGAAAATTAAAACCACAATGAGATATCATCTTGTACCAGTCAGAATGGCTATTATTAAAATGTCAAAAAAAAAAAAAAAGAAAACAAATGCTGGTGAGGTTGCAAAGAAAAGCAAATGCTTATACACTGTTGGTAAGAATGCAAATTAGTTCAGCTACTGTGGAAAGCAGTTTGGAGATTGCTCAAAGAACTTAAAACAGAGCTACCATTTGACCCAGCTACCCCATTACTGGGTGTATATATTCAAAGGAAAATAGACCATTATACAAAAAAGACATATGCACTTGTATGTTTATTGCTATGCTATTCACTATAGCAAAGACATGGAATCAACTTAGGTTCCCATAAATAATGGATCAGATATAGAAAATGTGGTACATATACATTGTGGAATACTATGCAGCCATAAAAAAGAATAAAAATAAAAATGTATCCTCTTCAGCAACATGGATGCACATGGAGGGAATAATCCTAAGTGAATTAATGCGGGAACAGAAAATCAAATATCGCATGTTCTCACTTATACGTGGGAGCTAAACGTTGAGCACACATGGACGTAAACATGGGAAAAACAGACACTTCAGACTACCAGAGGGGGAAGGTAGGAATGGGGACAAGGGTTGAAAAACTACTATTGGGTACCATGCGCACTTCCTGGATGGAATATACCCATGGAACAAACCTACATACATACTCCTTGTGTCTAAAATAAAAGTTGAATTTTTTTTTAGAAAAAGCATAATGTTTAGATGCTATTGTCGGTTTATTATCATTTAAACATAATTATCACTTTCTTTGGTCTAGTTACTACTTTATTAATCTAACCCCAAATCACATCTGCTTTTTTATCAGCCATGCATCATGTTAACTAACCTGGTTTATTGTGAATTAATACCTCTAAAACGTTATCACAAAATAATGTTTCACATTTGAGAATACTCAATTGCAATATCTTAATCCACTAATATAATTTTATTATACTTATCCATTTTCTAGCTTATTAAAAATTGTGTGAGTCCTGATTCCATCATCTAATATATTCACTACATCACCCGCTACACCAATACTATGTCATCTCCAAACTCATTACAAAACTTTCTACATCTTTATTCAAGTGTTGATGAGACTGAGAAAGATAAGGAAAAAATACCCTCCCAGTGTAACATTAGAAACATTCCTTCTGACTTACATAAACCAAGTAGCAATCATTGGGTTATGAAACTATTTTACTCGATTTATGAAACAATTTGGTTTGTTTTAGATTCTAGTCCATAATTCTCCATGTGTTACACTGGGCTCCCCAAGAAGCATGCTGTAAGACTAGGATTTGAAGAAAGGTCGTTTGCTTAGGAGGTTTTTTCTCAGAAAGTGCTGATGGAGGAGAATGGGAAGTTAGGCAGGGAAAGGAAAGAAGGAAACCAACAGGGGATGCTCTGTGGAGGGATGAAGAGGAAGCTGAGGTATGGATCCACTGATTCTCCTCTCAATGATTGAATGCTGTTCACAGGGGTGTTAACTCCCAGGTCTGTACATGAGCCAAGCACATTTTCGGGGACAGAGAAGTCCTCAGGCAGAAAGTGGCAGGTGCTTGGAGTAATGAGCTATGAGAATGCTGAGTGCTGAGAGGATATGGACAGGGGACCAACATCTGCTACACTGCACCTCATCCATTAAGACTGCATGAGACTTCTTTTCAAAAGCCTTGCTCAAATTGAGATACATAATATCAATCCAATAACCCATATTTACTCATTCAATTACATTTTTCAATTCTCTTTGTTGCTAAATATTGTAGATACAACGCTATTATCCGGTGCTCTATTAAATGAGTGACCTTGTCCAAAAATGATATTTATCTTATAACTTAATTTTAATAAGTTCATTCTGAACCCTAATAATTTCTGCTTATTTTCTACTAATCTTTTGACAGTTTGTTGATAATACTCTTTAGAACTGACACAGGTTAATCTATTAGAAACCTAGAGAATGCTTTTTCTTTGTTTATTAATTTTCATAAATCAATCATTCCCATGATTAGATTTTATTTGATCTCTAAAGTTTTCAAGACCTTCAGCAGCATTTTTATTTTCAGATTTTTGACAGACTAGATATTTTTCTATGCCAAATAAACAAACAAAGAAACTAAACTTGCTAGGGGATAAACATAACAAACATCCTTATAAATAAATGTGCAACTGAGCATAAGGAATGAGGATGCTAAAACCAGAGTATTTAGCAGGCTGTAAAACGTTGACTTCCTTGGGGCTGTTTGTTAATCTCAGTAGTCAGGAGACTTGAATTGTAATGACGTGATAGTAATGCTTGGGCTCACACAACTTAGTGACTTGAAACTACCTACTACCAGAATAAATCCAAAACTTCAGGAGGCCACACCCTTAGTCAAAATTTAGCTGGAGAAATATTTTCCCACTAGGAAAAAAAAAGGTAAAAATAACTGTTCTGTCTCATCATGGAATCAATGTAAGATAAAAATCATCTCCTCGATCATTTGAAACATGCATGTTTGGGGCTAAAGTACAGACTGTCAGCATGATCTTAAAAACCCTAAGGCAAGGAATTAATCTAGTAGTCCTAGATTTGTAGCACCCCAGGGTCTGGCAAAGGCAAATGTGCATCCTCTCTGGAGAGATGTACCCTCTAACCCAAGTTCAGAGAATTCTCATGGATAACTTATGGATATAAGCTCCCTATTCAAAATTAGAAAACATACAGACCACCATGTACAAAAAAGAATAGAAACAACAGTAGTATTGGATCTCCTAAAACTTCAAATGTGGAATTACTAATATTGATATTTACCATTAACATTAGTAAAATTAAAACATGAATTAAAAAAGAAAGAGGCAAGTGAGTACCTAAAAAGAGATTTGAAAATGTATCAAACAGAACTAGAATTAAGTGAATTACATTTTGAAATAGTTGAATAGATGAGTTAGCACAATAGATCCAGCTGAAGAAATCACTTACAAATTGGAAAATGCAGAGGAAGAAATTGGTCAAATAGCAATTTAGAGAGATAAAGAGATGAACAATATAATAAATATGGTGAATAAAACAAGATGGCCCCCATGTACATTAAATGTTGTAGAAACAGAGTATACAAAAAATGAGGAAAATACAGAGATAATCACTAAAATTTTTGAAGAATTGACATAAGGCAGATATTCTCATATTTAGAAACATAACAGATCTTGAATAAGATATGTAAGAATGAATTCATACCTACAAACATCACAGAGAATCTGTAAAACATAGAACAGAAGGAGTCTTGGTAGCAATGAAAGAGAATCGGAGTTTAATTTCAAACCAATGATAAAAACCTAGTGACACACTTTTCAAGAAGTAACAACAAAAGCCAGAAGACAGTAGAATAATTTTCAGCATGTCAATCGATCTCAACCTAAAATTACATACCAAGCTAAACTCTTACTTAAGAAAGACAACAAAATAAAGAAAAATAACAGAAAATGTACCGTCACACACCCTCGCTTAAGAAACTTCTAAAATCTCTACATCAGAAACAAGGAAATAGAACCTAGAAGGGAATACTGATGTCTGTGCTGCTGCGAGGCACAGCTCTGGGTGCTACCCTTCAGAAAGTATGCAGTGTGAATGCTGCTGCCTACCACTGTGCAACCTCACAGAATTTTCATAGATGTAAGTACAAGGTGGCAAAAAAAAAATCAGTAACATGTACCTAAATCTCAACAAACATCAACTGTACATTTAAGAAATAAGCATAACAATGACTACACTTGGGATAAAGGGTAATCAGAACTAAAATAATGAAAAATAAAGACACTTAAAACAGGAGAAGGTGACCAGCGTGGGTTGTTTTTAAGACAAATATCTAAATTAAAAATGTAATACAAGCATTGAACATTAGAAATAGAATGTATTACTTCTAAACCAGTAGATGAAAGTAGAGAGGGTGTGTTTCATGAGTCCAAATTAAAGGAGTAGAAAAAGCATAGGAAAAAATGCAAGGTGATAGTGATAATCCAAATATATCATTAATCACAATAAATAAAAATAGACTAAACCCACTAAATTAAAAAAAAAAACTGGAATTGCCTGAATAGATTTAAAAACACAAAATTCAACTCTTTGTTATTAAAGGAGACACACCTAAAGCATAACCATATAGAAAGGATAGAAATAAAATACTAAAAAGTAAGACAAATACTATTCAAAATAGAAGTTGGTGATATTAAAATAGATAACTTTATTATAAATATAGTATTAGGGACAAATAATCACTATATAACCATTAAAGGCATATTTTAGCAGAAATACAGTAAATAATTTGAGTCTGGGTGATAATGATGTGTCAGGGTAGGTTTATCAATTGTAACAAATATATCACTCTGAACGGGATGTTAGCTGTGGGAGAGGCTGTGCATATTTGGTGGCAGTAAATACATGGGAAAACACTGTACCATCCACTCAATTTTGCTGTGAATCTAAAACTGCTCCAAAAAAAGAAGAAGGGAAGGGAAGGGAATGGAAGGGGAGGGGAGGGGAGGGGAGTGGGATGGGATGGGAGGGGGGGATGGGAGAGGAGAGGGGAGGGGAGGGAAGGGGAGGGGAGGGAAGGTAAGGGGAGGGGAGGGAAGGGAAGGGAAGGGAAGGGAAGGGAAGGGAAGGGAAGAGAAGGGAAGGGAAACCTATTTTAAAAATCTTGTGGAAAGGAATCAGGACAGAACTTATTGGACATTGAAATTACATGTGTGCTAATTTAAAGTATTTGTACATTAAAAAAGAAAGAAATGAGCTGTCAAGCCATTAAAAGGCATGGAGGAACCGTAATGTATATTACTAAATGAAAGAAGCCAATCTGAAAAGGATGCATCATTTCTACTATATCATTTCTACTGTATGACATTCTGGAAAAGGCAAAATTATGGAGACAGTAAAAGCATCAGTGATTGTCAGGGGTTAAGGGAGAAGGGATGAATAGACCCTGCACAGAGGATTTTCAGGGCAGTGAAACAACTCTGTTTGATACTATAATAGTGTATACATGTAATTTTGTTTTTCCAAATTCACAGAATGTACAACACCAAGAGCGAACCATAATGTAAACTGTGGTCTTTAGGTGACAATGTAGGTTGATTGTAACAAATGTACCACTTCAGCTAAGGATTTTGATAATGGGGGATGCTGTGTGTATGTAGGTATGGGGGATAGATGGGAACTTTCTGTACCTTCTGCTCAATTTTCTTGTGAATCTAAAACTGCCCTAATTAATAAAGTTTATTTTTAAAAAAAGAAATAGGCCAGGCGCGGTGGCTCACACCTGTAATCCCAGCACTTTGGGAGGCTGAGGCGGGCAGATTAGGAGGTCAGGAGATCGAGACCATCCCGGCTAACACGGTGAAACCCCGTCTCTACTAAAAATACAAAAAATTAGCTGGGTGTGGTGGCAGGCGCCTGTAGTCCCAGCTACTTGGGAGGCTGAGGCAGGAGAATGGTGTGAACCCGGGAGGTGGAGCTTGCAGTGAGCCAAGATTGCACTGCTTTACTCCAGCCTGGGCGACAGAGCGAGACTCCATCTCAAAAAAATAAAAAATAAAAAAAGGAATAAAGCCATACTCGTTAAACACATTGATTAAGAAGTGAAAAACCCACTTATACTCCAAACAATAATGATTAAAAACTGAGGCAAGATAATTATTATGTGGCTTTAGCCAATCAAGGTTAAAGTGCTCCATTGTCTTCTGGCTTTTGTAGCCTCTAGTGATAAGTTGGCTGTCTTCCTTATCTTTAGTTCTTTATGTCTTCTTCTCTGGCTGCTTTTAAGATTTCCTTTTCATCATTAGTTTTCAGCAGTTTGATTATTATGTGTCCTGCTATTTTTCTTTCTTCCTCTACTCTGAGTGCAATGAGCTTCTTCAATCTGTGGTCTTCTAATTTTTATCAAATTTGAAAATAGTCTGCCTATTATTTCTTCAATATTTTTTCCATCCCCCTTTTTTCTTTTTTTACTTCTAGTATATCAATTACTCCTATGTCAGACTTTCTGATATTTCCTCAAAGGTTACTAATGCTTTGTTCATTTTTCTTTAATTCTTTTTTCCTCTCTGCTTTATTTTGGAGATTTTCTAGTGCTATGTTTTCAAAGTCATTGATTTTTTCCCTGCAAGGTTTAATCTGCCATGAATCCAAACCAGTGTATTTTTTTATTCCAAGCACTTTAGTTTTAATTTTTAGAAGTTTTATTTGTCATTTTATATCTTCTATATCTCTCCTCATTATACTTATGCTGTTCTCAAACCTTCAGGAATACAGAGTATATTTATAATAGTTATTTTAACATCTTTGTCTGCTATCTCATAATTTCACTTATTTCTGGGTCTAAGTCTATCAATTAATTTTTCTCTGAGTTATGTGTCATAATTTCCTAATTCTTTGTATGTCTGGCAGTACTCTTTTGGATACTGGACACTGTAAATTTTATGTTGTTGGGTATGAGATTTTGTTGCATTCCTTTAAATGGTATTGACTTTTTTGTCTGGGAAGCAGTCAGACTATTTGGGATATTTGGGATTGCTTTGTTTCTGCATAGCATTGCTTTTAAGCTGTGTTAGGTCACGTCAAGAGCAGCCTTTATTCTAGGGATAATTTAGCCTTCCGAATAGTCTACTCAATGCCTCATTTATTATGAAATCCCTCCGCTCTTGCTGACAGGAAGAGAATATATTTCCAGCCTGTGATTAGCTTCAGGAATTGTTCAGCCTACTCAGTTCCAATGTCCAGCCTACGTATATCCAGCCTTGGATCATTTATTCTCATGCATGAGCAAATCAGTACTCCACCAAAGACTCAAAGGGACACCTCTGCATATCTTCCAAGCTCTGTCTTTGTGAAGCTCCCTGTGCTCCACCAATGTCTCCCTGAACTACAATCAATGTCTCTAAAACTCAGTGAGATTCCTTGTTTTTAATTTGTTTCTTCTCTCCCTGCACAGCAGAGGGAATACAGCCTCTAGGTAGAAAACTGGAGTAATTATATAGTTTACCTTGTAATCAGGGCTAATAAACCTGTGCTGTCTATCACGTAATGTCTAAAAATAATTTCCTTATATATTTTGTCTAGCTTCCTAATTGGCTAAGGTGGGAGAGTAAATCCTGTTATTTCGTCATGGCCATATTTAGAAATCTCTTACCTTGAATTTTGAAAAGGAATGATTTTGAACTGTATACAGGATATTTTCTTATGCTTATAGTGGTGGTTGTGTTGCATTTGGAGAGATTGATGGAGGAGAAGACCATTAAGTATTATCTCACAAAGTAGGGCTAGCATATATAAAATATTATATCTCATGTCCATCTTGAAGAATAGATTGATATTGAATTGAAAAAATATTCCAGGCCTCATAAAACAAAAAACCATATTGGCTAAAATATACAGATTATAAATATGAATATTCCCAAGTGCAGAGCTCATTGCAACATTGTGAGTTTTGAATGCCACTCAAATTCTGTTGGGGAAGAAAGATATGTAAGGACAGTAGGTTTATATATCTCAAGCAAAACTTGGCTTTTTTTAACAAGATACAATGCAAAAGCATGTAGACACTTTAACTATATTATCCTAACGGTTCCTAGGTGAATAAAGAGTGTATTGTTTAAATGTGCATTGTTTAAATATTTGTCATGACTAAAACTCACATAATTTTTATCATAAAATTGGCTTTAAAATTTTCCCAAAATTGTTGGCTCTTGGTCAGTGAAACATTTGAAATGTTCGTTTACAGAGGCCAAGTATTTTTCTACATACCAGTGGTCTCAGAATCGTGAACTTTGGTATAAAATTTTAGTGGGTAACGAATACTCAATATGTAATACTTTTACATATTTGGGGCTTTTTTTTGTAAAATGTATCCTTTAAAACACACAACAATAATAACAAAGCCTCTTGCTCATAAAACTAAGACAGATTTTTATGAGTTTTATAAACTCATAAAATTTCGTTTTTCTTGTATATTTCCCAATAGATATCACAGAATAATATTGCCAACACTAAAATATTTGAACATGGGCCTTGATTAAAATTTGCTCTTTTTTCTGATTCACTCCTCAGATTTTAACAGAGCCTTTAACACCTAGTATTCATAGTATTTCAAGACTCTAACATGTTTTAGTTTCATTCTTGATTTTTTCACTATTACTTAGAAAACATAGCATGCCAGTTTCAAACATATGAATATAATATTTTGAATTTTCTGTCTTTTATACCTTAAATGCATTTTGTGGTTTTGACATTAATATGCCTACTTTTATAACTATTTCAATATGTCTTCAATCTCTTTAAATTTTGCTTTCAAAAGTCACTGCCATCCTGTATCTAAAATGTCATAGTTTTTTCTGTCTCATGGTTTAAGATATTTTCAATTGCTTCTACACATTTTTTGAAAATTAAAGAAAGTCATTTATAGCAAAATGCATCTATTTATTATATCCAGCATTAATACCTTCTTTGCCATTATGTGCTGTTACATAATGACATAGTGATGGGGTTATTTTCATAACTGATATTATATACCCTAAAGGCCACAGAGCTTCTCTTATGGCTCCAAAGATATTCTTGCTACCTGTTATTCTGGTCTGTTAGGCATTGTAATTATGTAATTAGATGTTCTTTAAAGACTATCTTAGGTACCTCATAGATTAGAATGGTTCCTTTGAAGCAGTTACCAGATCTGTTATGTAATTACATAATTAAGTCCATGTAGTAAAAATCTTAACAAAACTCTTTAAAAAAAATAAACAGCCTGCACTGGGGCAACAGATGACTTCGATTGCAAATTAGAAGTGGAACAAAATTGGCAATATATTCAGTGTCAAGAACAAAGGTGTCTCAACACCAATTTTTATACTGGGATTGCATCCCTCAAGGAAAGCTCCAGGGAGGTGGATCTGGCCCCTCAATCGTCCAGAACCTTGGCCTACATATGGTTTTATTAGTACTACTGCAAGAGACTTTCCTCTTCGTAAACTTCATATTCTACCTTCCTCAGAGACACTCATAAAATCAATATGGTTTGGAAGCTAACAAAGAAGATAAAAGGTGACTAAGACACTAAATAAAATGAAAGCTCTTTATATTGTCATTTTATATATGTTTAAGTCAATTAAATTCTGCCACAACCTATGTAGCCCAAACTTAACTACCAATTACATATGGTGGATTTGCAGAGTAGAATTCAAGCAAATTAAATAATAAAATTTGGAGTTAGTATGCACCCCAAAACTCACAAAGATAATACTTTTTAAAAATCCATAGGCACTAAAATACAAAGGCATCATGTTACTAATCACCAAACTATGAAATGTGTAATGTGAAAGTTGGCCGTTCTAATACTTTGTATGACAGAAAGAAAAATCTATCAATCTAACAAGAGAGAGACACTTCCAGGCAAAAAGTCTTTAGCCATTAATTTGCCCTTTGTCAGAACATCTTTTCTCTTAGGCCTGCAAATCCCCAAGTCACCCCAGCCCTTGACGTGCATGCTATACTCAGTTGACTCTCAGTGGCCACATTATCAGGCTTCTTTCAATTCTCTTTACCACCAACCCCATGTAAAACCTATGCCTGTATATTTCTCAATATTGCTTTTCCACTCCCATCATCAATTAATTTGGAATGCTATCTTCTATGACTATCTTTCTATTTTGGTAAAAGCTATCATTATTAACTCCAATGTTTACTTCCTGCTAATTTTCAAAGAAGAAATATTTCAAACCAAAGAACTGTGCTTCCTCTGTATTAATTCATTGTGCTGGTTTTCTATCACTGCATAACAAACCATCCTAAAACTTAGTGGCTTAAGCAACAATTTATTGTTATCTCCCACAGGCTCACTGGATACTTATTGCTTCTGGTCTTTCACGTGGTCATGGTTAGATAGTGTCTAGGGCTGGAGTTATCCAAAGATATGACTAGACTGGAATGTCCAACATGGCTTCTGCACTCACATCTCTTTCTTTCTGTTTATTTTATTTTATTTCGTTTTATTTTATTTTTGAGACAGAGTCTCACTCTGTCACCCAGGCTGGAGTGCAGTGGCGCAATCTAGGCTTACTGCAACCTCTGCCTCCTGGGTTCAAGTGACTCTCCCGTCTCAGCCTCTGTAGTAGCTGGGATTACAGGTGCCCACCACTACGCCCAGGTAATTTTTATATTTTTAGTAGAGACGGGGTTTCACTGTGTTCGCCAGGCTGGTCTTGAACTCCTGACTTCAAGTGATCCACTTGCCTCAGCCTCCCAAAGTGCTGGGATTACAGGTGTGAGCCATGGCACCCAGCCTACACTCCCATTTCTGGAGCCTCAGATGGAGGAGTTGGACAAATTGGGAGCTGACATTTCCCTCCACATGACCTCTCTACATAACTGTCTTGGGATCTCTCAGTTCATGGCAATTTCAGAGTGACAACTAACTCCTCACCAGGATGCGTATATGCTCCAAGATGCCAAGGTGAAAGCTGCCAGTCTTCTCATGCCTAGCCTCAAAAGGCATGCAATGTGGCATCACTTCCATCATATTCCAGGAGTTATACAGGGAGATGCTACAAAAGTGTGGAAGTGTCAGGAAATGTGGTTCCTCAGATGATTGTATTTGGATAAATGGATGGGCCACACTCAACTAATACGTTATCTAACTCATCAAACATATGACAAAGCAAGGTGTATGAGCTAGGAAATATGATACAGCAAGGTATAAGGTAGTGACAACATCACTGAAGTTGCTATTATAAAAAATTTTAATGTGACTGAGCAACTTCCAGTTTGGTTGAGCCTACAGATTACTCCAGCCTCATTAGGTTGAGGCAAATCAATTTAGACTCTAACTCCACCGTACTCAAATAAACTCCTGATGAGTTCAAGTTCTTTAAAAAATATCTACAACACCACAACTCTCTAGCAATCAAAGAATGAGATATCAATTTTTCTATCAAATAATATAGATACACACACACACACACACACACACAAACTGCTGGCAAGACTATGGTGAAACGATCCTATTCATACCAGGCTGACGGAAATATAAATAACGACAACCTCTTTATGAAGAAATTGACAATATATTCATCTTGCTTGACTCAGACATTCTATTTTTGGAATTAAGATAATTCAGAAAATAAGCTGAACTACAGAAAAATCTTTTCATACAAAGATATTTATTCCAAGATTATATATAGAGGTAAAAAACTGTAAGCAACATAAATGTCCAAAGATAGGAGAATAGATAACCAAACAATAATAGGTACAAAAGATAAAATTTTATGCAGTCATGTAAAATTACATTCCTGAATATTTTATGATAGGAGAAAGTTAAGAGTTAACATTTATTGAGCACCTGCTATACGTCAGGTATACATAATATGTGATTGCTTAACATACTTACTCATTGGATTTTTCTAATAGCTCCCTGAAGTGCATATAATTGTTATACTCATATTTGGGGAGAGAAAAGAGATTTAAAGAAGCTGAATCACATTCCCAAGTTTGAAAAGATGGGGAAATCAGGATTTGAACCCACACACTGCCTTCACATTTATACATTTATGACCATTTTGCTATATCACTTTTGATGAATAGCACTAAAAGCAAACAGCCAATACACGTGCATGCACACACACACACCATTTTAGAAAGAATGCAAGTGCAACTATTTTACAAAATAAAATATACAGAAAGCAATCAGATTGGAAGGATATAAACTAAAATATTCATAATGATTGCCTTTAGGTAATGGTACTCTGGGTCGTTTTTCCCTTCTCCTTTGTATGTTTTTAAGATGTTCTAAAATAAACAAGTTTTTTCAGTCCTGTAAGGAAAAGAGAATTATTTTTCAATCCTGAGCAGCTATTTCTTTTTCTGCAGATAAGAAGGCCAGCTATGTGCATATCTATCACAAATAACCTGGGGATGTGACGTCTTCACATGAGCTAGTAAGGTTGCGGCTAAGAAAGGAACCTGAGGATGTCCTGAAGAGTTAGAAAGACAAATAACACTTTTCACATGATAAGCAGTAAGCAGGAAAATCATTCTTTCCAAAAGGAAGATGGTTTAAATAAAGGTGTCTGGTAAAAAAAAAAAAAAAAAAGACTCCAGGAGCTTTGCCAATGGTTACAGTGCAAAGGGAGTCCCAGAACTCCGAGAGTCCGACTGAGTCAGATTTACTAATGCCCTGAAAGAACCAAGGCAGCAGACGCTTTTCTGGTCTCAGTTGCAGATTACAAACAAGGTATGTAACCAGCCCTAGGTTTCTTTGCAATTGTGATTGCTTGCTTGATTGATTAACATTTACCCTACGCTATTCATAATTTTCAGCAATGTAATTGATTAAAATATTAATGTTCACCACTTTAATAAAAACTTACTTTCTAAGAAAAGACACATTGAGTAGAAAGCAGGCAAGTCTTTGTTTTCTCACTGAGTAAATCTGAGCTTTTTGGTCTCCCAGACCCCAGCCTTCTGGCAGTTTATCTGAATCTGAAGGTAACTAGGAAGAAATAAATAGGTCTGTGGATATTAGCCTGAAAAACCCAAATCTTTGCTGGCAACAAATGTCACAGAACTGTAAGTGACAATGAAGTGGAAGTGAGAGCTTCCCTGCACGATGCTTCCTTGTACTTGCCCAGCTTCCTTGTTCAGTGATTACAAGTGGGCAACAACCAGGGAACGGGGTAACTAGATGGTAAATCAAAAAGAGTTCATCCCAACTGTTAGATTCCCTCTTCCTTTTCAAATGATTTTTGTTTTTGTTTTTGTTTGAGACAGGGTCTTGCTCTGTTGCCCAGGCTAGAGTACAGTGGCATGATCACAGCCCACTGCAGCCTCGACCTCCTGGGCTCAAGGGATCTTCCCACCTCAGCTTCCCGAATAGGATTACAGGTTCACACCACCATGCCCAGCTAATTTTTGTATTTTTTTGTAGAGACGGGGTTTCACCATGTTACCCAGATTGATCTCAAACTCCTGGGCTCAAGCCATCTGCCCACCTCAGACTCCCAAAGAGCTAGGATTACAGGTGTGAGCCACTGCACCTGGCCCAAATAATTTTTTGAAACATCAACTAAAAGAAAACTATAGCCTTATAGCAGTTCAGTAATGTACTCAATTCTAAGGTAAACCAACATAAAATGAACTTCACATAAAGTTTATTTAATTGACTAATAACTGAAAATGCAAGAAGTTACATTCATATTCAGCAACGGAACAAAAGCCACTGTGGTCCTTGTGGCTCGTACCTTTACTTTTAGGCTTTTTCTTCTGTGAATTGCTATTTAAATTGAATTTCACTTGGTTGCTTTAACAAGGAGGGAAGGAAAATTGTTCATCCATATGAAAATATGATATAGACTATGGTGTTCTGTAGCATGGTACACACTCACAACATTATAGATCCAGCTTAACATGCCTTCTGCACTGGTTTCTCACACAATAAACAAAGCTTAGAACTCTTCTCTGGTCTTTGTTTCATTCAGATCAGTTTTATGAAATGGACACATCCTAAAAAGTTGGAAAGCTTAATCAATCCCTATAGAATAAATAACACTCTGGCTGGATGTGGTGGCTCACACCTGTAATCTCAACAATTTGGGCAGCTGAGCTGGGAGGACCACTTGAGCCCAGGAGTTTTGGGACCAGCCTGGGCAACATAGTGAAACTCAGCCTCTACAAAAATTTTAAAACTTATCCAGGCCTGTAGTCCCAGCTACTCATGGGGCTGAGGTGGGAGGATCACCTGGGCTCAGGAGGTCAAGACTGCAGTGAGCTGTGGTTGTACCACTGTAGTTCAGCCTAGGTGACAAAGCAAGACTGTGTCTCAAAAAATGAAAAATAATAATAACATTTTAACTGTAATAATTGCTTACAATTTATGCTTTACTTTACATAAATGTTTGATTTAAGGCCCTGTCTCAAAATAATGATAACATTCTAACTGTACTGATTGCTTACAATTCACACTTTATTTTATACAAATGTTTGATTTTAAATATAACCCCCGAGTTGGGTTCTAGTATAACAGGCTCAGTGCATCAGGAATCCAGACATTGCCAGTAATAATTTCCCAGGCTTGTTCCTTTAGTATCTCTGGGGCTGTGCCAAAACCAAATTAACACTGAGCAACCTGAACTTCAGAGATGAAAGGAATCTTGGACACCGATAAAATCTGCCTTAAAATGGCACTGTTGCTTTTCTGAGCTGAGGAAGTTTGATTATTATTGCTTTTCTCAGAGTTTTCAGCATGCTTGTTATTGATCTTAGTAAATTACAGCAAGTATCTTCGACCCCAGAAGGTGAGTTTCTCCCCTAGTCTCTTGTTCATCATCTACTTCAAGCCCTTCTCCTCCTCTCCAACGATGTCCACCCACCCTTTGAAGTCCAGCTCTGTTCATTCTTGACACTGCTGCGGGCGTTTTTAATCATTCCACCTCACGACAAATTGCCCTGTCTCTCAGCTCTATGGTATTAAATACTCATACCATCTGTTATAGATTGGCTTGATTCCTCCAGAAAGATATGTTCAAGTCCTAACTCCTGGGACCTTCTAACGTGACTATATTTGGAAACAGGGTTTTACAGATGTAATCAAGTTAAGATGAAGTCATTAGAGTAGGCACTACTTCAATTTGATTGCTGGCTTTGTAAAGAGAGGAGAAGAGACATGAAGAAAGAATGCCATGTGAAGGCAGAGGCTGAAATTAGAGAGGTGCATCTACAAGCCAAGGATTGCTGGCCATTGACAGAAACTAGGAGAGAGGTATGGTGCAGATTCTCTCTCAGCAACCTCAGAAAAAATCAGCCCTGCCTACACCTTGATTTTAGACTTCTAACCTCTGGACCTGTGAGAGAATAGGTTTCTGTTGTGTTGTCACTCAATTTGTGGTATTTTGTTATAGCAGCCCTGGGAAACTAACATGCCATCCACATATAACCCTCCCTTTCCATGCATTTTCTACCACCTATCTCTAACTTTATGCTGATGTTCTCACCTTGCATAAAAATTCCCTTGGTGTATAGACCACATCTTATTTTTTTCTTTTTTATCTTTGTCTTTATTTTTTAATTTTATTTCATTTTATTTTATTTTTGGAGACGGAGTCTCACTCTGTCATCAGGCTGGAGTGCAGTGGCACGATCTCAGCTCACTGCAACCTCTGCCTCCTGGGTTCAAGTGATTCTCCTGCCTCAGCCTCCCGAGTAGCTGGGACTACAGGTGCGCACCACCATGCCTAGCTAATTTTTGTATTTTTAGTAGAGACGGGGTTTCACCATGTTGGCCAGGGTGGTCTCGATCTCCTAACCTCATGATCTGCCCACTTCGGCCTCCCAAAGTGCTGGGATTACAGGCATGAGCCACTGCGCCACAAAGATCAGCCCTATGAAATCTATGTTACAGTTGTCAAATAAAATGCAAGGCATTCAGTTAACTGGGCATCTGTATTTTTGTTTGCTAATCTGGCAGCCCTAATTTATGTACAAAATAGATGATGAATAAAAACTTAAGAAATAAATGGATGAATCCCTAGTTCATCAATTTTATGAAATTTTCCTTCTGATATTTATAGTAATTAACCATCCACAAAGACACTGAAAACTTTAACCTACCTCCTATTAAACTTTAGTGGCCTGCTCCTGGAGTACTGAGTAATATATTATAAGGGTGCATCAATCATAGATAATACCAAAAAAAACCCAACTATAATGGTTAGAAATATAAAGGCAGATGCCATTGTCAAGACAGAACCTAAAGAGATTGGGACCCTGCCATTTGAAAAGGTTGAACTCAAAGATTTGTGATCAAAATCTAGAATAATATCAGACACATTAGTAAAATAATTTGTGCCCCAAATCTAGAATACTAGGCTGGAAATAGAATTAATATTAATTGATTATGCTTCTATGTGTCAGGCTTTTTCCTACATTAATTTATTTTACCTTACAACAATTGAGTTAGGAGGTAGGCGCGAATGTCCCTGCAATTTAGAGATGAAAGGACTGGTGTTTGGAGGGCAGAGCAAGGATTCAAACTCAGGATCTAACACCTATGCTCCTTCCACACTCCTAGACTAACTCTCTAAGCCTTTGTTTCCTGAGCAGTGCAAATTAAGAACAATTAAAGGAAGAACATATTCACCTAATAGATAATATGTATTTAAAAAGCCATTGATGCAAATAGCAGCCCAGCAGCAAATATTAAGTGATGGAAAATGTATGAGGAAAAAACCGTTAGTGGAAGAGGATTCACATGGAACTCACCTTTGAAATGGAGTCAGATACTACTAGAGCTTCCAGAACACCTAGCTAAATTGACATAGGGTCTGCTTCAGGATGCCCCGCTCCACATTCTTGTGGAAATGAAGGACTTCATAAAAAATCCAGTTATTTTATTCTCATTTAGCATTCTCAGGTGCTACAAAAGCTGGATTGTGTACTGAAAAGAGCACAGGGCTTGTAATCCGGATATCTCGGGCTGCCTATTATTCTGTTACCTATTCGTTGTGTGACAGCAGAATAAGTCACAAGCAATCTTGGCTCAGTTTCCTCCTTTGAAAATAATGGGCTGATTTCTAAATTCCTCTCCAGCACACATTTAAGGGCCGATTATATGCTCCTTTTATTTTCTAATTATACCAATGCTTTTTAACTGGCACACTGTTTCCCTCATGGATTAAACGGAATGTCTCTTCTCTTTATGTCTTTGTACTTCATTCATTTATTCAATTAATTGATCTCCTACTCAATGTCATGCACCATGCAAAGCGCTGGGGATGTAAGTGATAAACAAGAGAGACAAGGTCCTTACTTTTATTAAGATTACAGAAGGGAAAAAAAGAATAATTAGAATGGGCAGCAATATAAAGGTAGATGCCATTGTCAAAAGACCTTAAAATAATAAATGTATAATTACAATTTAAATAAATGTTTTGAAGGAGGATTATAGAGTCCCGAGAAACTAGTTAACAGTTTAAATTAAGTCTCTGGGGTCAAGGAAAACTTCCCTGAGGAAATTAACATGTAAATTTAAACTTGAAAGGAGAGGAGAATTTGGCAGATGAAGAGGATGGGGAAAAGCATCCCTGGTAGAGAGATCATCAACTGTGAAGGTTGATTCGGGAAAGAGATTGGCATTGAGAGGAAACAAAAGAAAGTCATCAGGGATGATGCATCTTCAGTGAGACTACGGTGGCTCGAGAGGTGGCTGGGCAGTCACAAAGGGACAACTTGAAATGCAATAAGTAAGAGTTTAAAGGTACAGCATGGACAAAACTTACATGCTTCCTAAAATATACTCTTTGCTGTTAGAATTAGATAACAGAAGAGCATACAAAGGAATGACAGGAAAACAATTAGAAGGCTTAGCCAGCAATTCAGGAGAAAGACAACCATGGCTTCAGTTAACATGATGACCACAGAGATGGAGAGAGTGGACACAGTTCACTTCACAGTTTGGGAGCTAGAACGCCAGTAGCCATTGAAGGTAATAGGTAGAGGAGAAGGGAAATTAAGAATGGCTCCAGTTTATGGTATGAGCACCTGGAATGTTAGGGGAGCCATTCCTTAAGGTGTGGGCTACTGAAGGAGAATTAGGTATGAATGGGAGAATCAAGAGAAGAGTTTTGCACAAGCTCAGTGTGAGGCTCCTATGATACATCTTGTTGCAAAGCCACACAGCACCTATGTAATTCAAAATATCAGCACCACCATGAGCCTTTTGCTAGCTCCCTGAATGTGGTCACGACCCAGCAAATCAACATTTGCTTGATCTGAGGTTGATGATAAGTGAGCAGAAAAAACAAAGAGCACAGAGGAAGTGAGTGGAAATAGAACAATTTCTGTTAGTGGAATTGACCAGTGTGCAAAGTAGCCCTGTGTTGCAAGAATCAGATTAGCAGAGAAAGAGTTTTGATATATGGTGAAAGATTCCTTCAGTCCCAGCCTTCTTCCCTACTAGTCTGACTCTATGTCTGCCTACCTCTTCATGATGAAGTACCAATGCTGAAAGTCAAACTGGTGACGTCTCCAGAAAGTCCTCATTTAAAGGTTACAAATTACTTGAGAGACATCTCTAGCCTCCTCTACTTTTAGCACGATAGTATAAATTAATGAGCTCAGCCAGGTAGAATGAGCAAGTAGGGACTGAAAGATATTTGAGACAAGTGAATGTCCACATCGAGGAAGGCTTAGCAGTTTATACCTGTGGATGCCAAGCCAGCACAGGTAATGAAACAATAACCTTAAAGGCCAGTAGATTAAGATAGATGGGCCTGAAAGGCAGGAGTGTGTGCAGTAAATGGTTAACAACCGACTACCTGAAGATTTGTAGCATTTACTGATTTCCATGGTGTAAATACTCCCACCATGACCAAATTTAAACTGTCCTTAACAACTAGCTTGCAAAATTCCTGATAATTTAGCAATCAGCTACCTTAATCAAGAACGGGCAGGCTGCAGCACACCCCTGTGTGTGGGTGAAGTTGGCGCAAAGAGAATGCTGAGAAATCTGCTTAATTTCTCAAGTTTGCCCAAGGCTTTTTCTGAATAGAGATTTAGACTTCAAATGAAAAAAAAAAAAAATCAATCTGGGGGAAAAAGAAGTCACACTACCACCACCTCCTGCTTTGCCTTAACCTAAAATTGGACAAGGGGCTTACTTTTTATTAATTGCACCAATTATCAACATATTCATTTGGCTAAATCCCAACCCTGGCTAAATCCAACTCTTTGCCTACTCCATCCCCATAGCTGGAAAAGAGCACACAACCACAGTTCTAATGTTGCTATAAATTCATGATGAACTTCAAGGAGGTCCTCAACACCCCTGGAAAGCCCACAGTGCTTTCCTAGTTATTCATTCCTCTCTCTCCTAAACCAGTGGTCCCCAACCTTTTTGGCACCAGGGACTAGTTCTGTGGAAGGCAATTTTCCACGAACCAAGGAGGGGCATGGTTTCAGGATGATTCGAGCACATTACATTTATTGTGCACTTTATTTCTATTATTATTACATTGTAATGTATAGTGAAATAATTATACAACTCACCATAATGTAGAATCAGTGGGAGCCCTGAGCTTGTTTTCCTGCAACTGGAAGGTCCCTTCTGGGGGTGATGGGAGACAGTGACACCCAAAGTGTGTTGTTTATGTCCAGTTTACTCTATAATCTTGTTTTGGTTGCTGTCACTGCAGAATACCCTGCTTCACAAAGTTAGGATGTTGGAAATGGAAGCAGGATTTTCAGTACTTTCTTGGCAATCTCGGCAATCTCGGGATATTCTGCCTTGACTGTAATCCAGAACATATGGAGATTTGAAGTTGCCTCAAACATACTTTTAAGGACACCAGATGCAGCTGTACAACTGAAGTACATCAACTCACTTGCCACTATAAAGACTGCCACCAGATGCAGCTTCATTGTCACCTGCCACTCACTGATAGGGTTTTGATATGAGTCTGCAGGCAATTGATTTAACATTATGGTCTCTGTGCAGTCAAATGTCTCTGCTAATGTTAATCTGTATTTGCAGCTGCTCCCCAGAGCAAGCATCACCACCTCAGCTCCGCCTCAGATCATCAGGAATTAGATTCTCATAAGGAGCATACAACCTAGATCACTCACATGCACAGTTCACAATAGGGTTTGCGCTTCTATGAGATCTAATGCCGCCACTGATCCGACAGGAGGCAGAGCTCAGGCAGTAATGTGAGTGACGGGGAGCAGCTATAAATACAGGTGAAGTTTTGCATGCTGCCCAGTTCCTAACAGACCACAGACAAGTACCAGCCCATGGCCCAGGGGTTGGGGACCCCTGTCCTAAACAATTAGTTCATATCTTCTCCTGTCTCTTCAAACATCCAACACTTCTTTTATATCATCAGTCTCAGCTGATGTGCTCACTTTCTACTTCACTACAAAAATCAAAGTTCAAGGAAAACAATGGAAAGCCCCCAGCACTATCGCATCTACTATAAAATTATACCTCTGCCTTTATCCTCTCTACCCATACCCACTGCCTTCTGTCTCACTATACTGGGTGAACTACCCCTGGCAAGTCCCCACAGAGGCCATCCCCTCCACCTGTTTATGAGCTCCTATCCTTTCTAACCTGTTCCAGGTCACTGCTCAATCCCCTCCTCTTCCTCTTGCAACATTACTTTTTCCCATTCTACCACTTCTTTCCCATTCACACTCCACCTTGATATTATTTCTCTCACCTAAAAATATCCCTCATAATTTTACTTCCCTTTTTTACTATTTTTAAATTAAGCCAGCCGGGCACAGTGGCTCACGCCTGTAATCCCAGCACACTGGGAGGTGGAGGCGGGTGGATCACGAGGTCAGGAGATCAAGACCATCCTGGCTAACACGGTGAAACCCCATCTCTACTAAAAATACAAAAAATTAGCCAGGCGTGGTGGCGGGCACCTGTAGTCCCAGCTACTTGGGAGGCTGAGGCAGGAGAATGGCATGAACCTGGGAGGCAGAGCTTCCAGTGAGCTGAGATCGAGCCACTGCACTCCAGCCTGGGCTACAGAGTGAGACTCCATCTCAAAAAAAAAAAAAAAAATTAAGCCATAATTTATGTACTATATAAGTTGCCCTTTTTGTTGTATACATCTGCAAGTTTTGACAGGTGCATACAGACTTGTAACCATCACCACAATCAAGCTATAGAATGCTTCCATCCCCCTTAAAATATTCCCCTTCACCCCTTTATAGTCAAATTTCCCCCTCTCACCACCATCTCTGGCAATTACTGGTTCGTGTTCTACCTCTATGGTCTTGCCTTTTTCAGAATATCATATAAATGGAATTATACGGCATAAAGCCTTCTTGAATCAGGCTTCTTTCACTGACCATCCATGTTTTTATGCTAATCAGTAATTTGCTCCTTTTTATTGCTTAACAGTATTTCAATGTGTTGATGTAATACAGTTTGTTAATTCATCCCTGGGGAGAGGGACTTTTGGGGTGTTTCCACGTTTTTGTGATTAAATATAATACGGCTGTAAATGTTAACATGCAGGTTTTTGTGTGAACATAAGTTTTCATTTCACTTTGGTAAATATTTAGGCATGAAATGATTGGTCATATAGTAAACATATGTTTTAAATGTAGAAGAAATTACCAAAGTGGTTTTCATAGTGGTTGTGCCATTTTACATTCCCACGAGAAGCGTGTGAGTTCCAGTTCCTCCACATCCTCGCCAGCACTTTGTATGACCAGTAAATGGTAAAATCCATCCTCCCACTAAGTTGGGTGAAAGTATCTGGCATCATCATCATCAGTTCCTCTACTTTGTTCATACCCTATATCCAGCCAGTCAAAAAAGCCAATCAGATCTACCATTAAGTCATACCCAGAACCTAAACCGCTGATTACATTTGCCATTAGATCTTCGTAACTTTTTTATTGCAAAAACTTCCAAACTGATTTTCAAGTTTAATATTCTGAACTCAGATGCTTAAAGTGTAGGTTAATCATCTCATTTTCATGCTCAAAATCCTGTAATCTTCCCATTTCACTCAGTAAAAGCCAAAAGTCCTGGTAATCCCCTAAAACACTGCACAATCAGGCCCCACAAGTCTGACTTCCCCTTTGCCTACCTGCCCTTTTTTTCCCTTTCTTTCTTTTCTTTTCTTTTTTTTCTTTTTTTTTTTTTTTTTTTTGAGATGGAGTCTTGCTGTGTCGCCCAGGTAGGAGTGCAGTGGCATGATCTCGGCTCACTGCAACCTTCTCCTCCCCGATTCAAGCAATTCTCCTGCCTCCGCCTCCCAAGTAGCTGGGTCCACAGGCACACGCTGCCATGCCTGGCTAATTTTTTTGTATTTTAGTAGAGACAGGGTTTCACCGTGTTGCTCAGTCTGGTCGCAAACTCCTGAGCTCAGGCAATCCACCCGCCCAGGCCTCCCAAAGTGCTGAGATTACAGGCGTGAGCCACTGTGCCCAGCCTTTTTTTCTTTCTTTCTTTCTTCTTTCTTTCTTTTTTCTCTCTCTCTTTCCTTCCTTCCTTCTCTCTTTCTCTCTCTCTTTCTTTTCCTTCCTTCTTTCCTTCCTTCTTTCCTTCCTTCCTTCCTTTCCTTTTTTTTTTTTTGACAGGGCCTTGCTCCATTGCCCAGGCTAGAGTGAGGTGGTGCAACCTCAGCTCAATGCAACCTACACCTCCTGGGCTCAAGTGATCCTCCCACCTCAGCCTCCCCAGTAGCTGAGACTGCAAGTGCATACTATCACACCTGGCTAATTTTTGTATTTTTTTAATAGAGACGGGGATTTCACCAGGTTGCCCAGGCTGATGTTGAGCTCCTGAGCTAAGGTGATCCACCCACCTCAGCCTCCCAAAGTGCTGGGGATTACTGGCGTGAGCCACTGCACCCAACTTTTCCTTAAGTCTCAGTGATTTTTTGTTGTTCTTCAAACATGCCAGGCAAGCTCCTACTTCAAGGCTCTACAATTGCTGTTTCCTTTCTTGAAATGTTTTTCTATCAAAAATCTACATGTTTTATTTCCTCACCTCCTTCAAGTTTTCTTCACTCAAATATTGAGCCACCCACTCTAAAATTGCAGCTTACTCTTCCACAACTGTCCTGTACCCTCATTCTCTGCTTTATTTTTTCCTTAGTATTTATAGTCATCTTACATGCTATATATTAAATTACACATTTGTTTATTGACTTGATTTATCCCTCAAGAACATAAATAAAGGGAAGGCATGGAATTTTGCAAGCATTGCTTACTGCTGTATCTAGCCTTGAAAACCATACCTAGAACACAAATAGGGTGTCAATAAATCTCTGTTGAATCAATTAAATTTGTCACAGTCTAGAATTTGTTAAATGGTCAGGACTTTCGCTCTGCCTTGGTGTAAGAGCTAGTTTGCTTTTCTAGGCAAAGAAAGTTTTTGTCTTGTTTTGTTTGTCTAGGCACCCTGATATGGTGTTTCCATCTGCTTTAGTGCATCGGGATGTTAGAAGGAGGTTTTATCTGCTTCTCACACTGGCAGCTTACATGTGCTCAGATTTACTGATCTCTGAGGGCACTTAGGCACCCACTGTTTGTTTATTTTGGAATTATTTTGTTATCAGCTTTACATGGGTATGAACCGTTGCCAAGATGGAAAGCCCTTCGAGGACTGTTATTCCTCATCCTCAGGATGCTCTCTGACCTGACCTTGAGAAACAACTGCAGCTCCTTGCAGAAGATGAAGAATATAAAATCTTCATTGCTTGCTCTGGGCCAAAGAGATTTCTGCCCAGCACCAACAGCAGGCTGCTGTTAGCCATGGTGTGCTACAACACTCAAGAATCACCCCTCCAGGCCCTATATAAGGTATGTCCTCCCCCACATTAGAGAGACCACTGGAATCAGCCACAGCCAGGAGTCTTTGAAGATGATTCATATGTGTATCCTTCCATCCCCACAACAAACAAATAAACAAGCGAACAAAAAACCCTCACAAGTCCTGGTTTCATTAAAAAAAAAAAAAATCCTTTACATTATGAGAAGAAAATTATTCCACAGAAAGTTTGAAAAATAATAAAGTGACCCATAATCTCACCATCCTAAGACAACCAACACCTTCAATTTTGTAGATCACCTTCTGTCTTTTATAATATGAATATTTTACATAGGTGTAAGCTTACTGCACATGTAATTGCATACATTTTAAAATCAATGTTATAATCATTCATTCATCAGGTGGTTAACAGAACAATTGATGAGAACAAACTGGGAGCCATGGACCAAGAGTTAACCCTGTCTTCAAAGGGCTCATAGTCTAGACAAGCACTTTTCAATAGAAATATAGTGCAAGCCAAATATGCAAGTTCAAATTTTTAAAGAAATGATTGAAATTAATTTTGCTACTATATTTTATTTAACCCAATATATCTAAAATATTATCATTTCAACATGTAATCAATAAAAAATTGTTAATGAAATATTTAACATTTTTTGTATCAAGTCTTTGAAATCCAGTGTCCAATGTCTTTTGCTTTCACAGCATACCTCGATTTGGACAAGACCTGTTTCCAGTGCTCAAAGCCACATGGTACCGGTAGCCATCGTCCTGGACAATGCAGTCTGCGAGGGTACCTTTCTATGTTTCTAAGAGTTTTCAACTTTGCAATTATTATCTTTCATACTTTCATAATATGCTATTGGGTTTATTTAGTTATTCACTTTTTACTGAACATCCAAGTTAACTCCATTTTTTTCACAATTATAAATTATACAGCAATGGATGTATTTTACCATATTTTGAATTAGTATTTAATTAGATTACTCTCACAGATGTGGAATGCTTGAGGTAAAAGGTTCAAACACAGTAATGAGTTTTGGTACACATTTTCAAGTTGCTTTCCAAAACCGTTGAATGATTTTACCCTGCCTCTAGCAATGTGTGTGAGCCAGTTTCACTGAGTATACCCCAGCGCCAGCCATACAAATCTCCATCCTTCCCAACTTCTTGTCTGGCTTCCTGGGCATTAGCTTTCCAGAGTTATTTTGCTGTTATTTTGTTTTTTGTTAGTTTATTTGTTTCTTTGAGGCTTTTTGTTTTGCTGTTCTGTTTGCATTTTTTGATTTCAGGTATACGTTGCTAATGGCAGTGTTTTTATGTTCGAAAATAAAATTCCAATTCTAATTTCCCTCTATTCACAGTATTTCCTTTTAATACTGAGCCAACACCTACCCAACAAGGAAATTCAAACTCATGGCAGGATGACATTTTCTATTACCTTCACCACCTTTGTTTTTCCTCATTCTCATTCCTAAGAGAAGATTTTCCTGAATGGGAATATGCTTCAAGGTTATGCTATGAGAGACAAAAACTTAATTAGTGAAAAATATATTTAGGAGGCTTATTTGTTCTATGAGTCTAAACAATGTGAGCACTCAGAGTAATTGGGCCTGTTTGTTTGAATGCAAGAGGCTGCAGCAGGATGAAGCAGAGATCCCAAGGAAGAAGGATAGAGAACAATGGACACGGGAGGCCAAATTCCAGAGTAGGTGGACTCAACCCTACATAGGAGACCAACTGAGATCCGTTTTACTGATCCTACCTCCTGCCTCCTATAAATATTTCTTTCACAGAAATGTTTATATTATCATCTGGCTTCCAAGAAATAAGGCAAACCTAAGCTTGTGTTATTTCCGGTGATGAATTGAGTCTGTGCACTTTTCTTGTCATTGTAGGTTCAAAACAGTAGAGCCAACACATACATTTGGCTAGTTCATGACATGAATATACCCCATTGGTATATTTGCATTTTTGAGAGGATATCTGCATTTTGGGGCATACATGCTTTTTAACTTTTTATTCTGAAATAATTTTAGATTTACAGAAGAGTTGCAAAGACAGTAAGACAATTCCAATACCCAGCTTCCCTAACCTTCACATTTTACAAAACCAAAGTAAACTTATCAAAACTAAGTATTTAACATTCATCCAATACTATGAACAAAACTACCAACTTTATTCAGATTATACCAATTCGTCTACTAACGCTCTCTTTCTATCCCAGGATCTAAGCCAGGGTAACAATCATATCTAGTGACCTTCCTCCTTAGGTTCCTCTCAACTGTGAGTTTCTCAGTGTTTGTCTTCCATGTCCTTTACACTCCCAAAGAGCATTCTGGTCAGGCATTTTGCAGAGTGTCCTTCAATTTGTATTTTCTGATGTTTCCTCATGATTAGACTGGAGTTAGAGTTTTAGAGGAAGAATACTACAGAGATGAAGTGGCATTCTCACTGCATCCTAGCAGAGGGTACTTGTTAACAACATGACTTATTATTGATGGTCTTGGTTATATTTTTATTTAGATTGCTCTTGGTTTGTTTTATCATGGTTTTTCTCCTTAGCTATTGATCTTTCAAAAAGGACAAAGGAAGAGAATAGCGACATTTGAATACAAATAACGTTTTTAAAACATCTGAGCAGGTACATTTTACACGTTACTGTCTTCAAACTAGTCTCCATTACAGACTTCATTTTCCAATGAAGCTACCGTCATTTCATTTTCAGTTTTACATATCTACTTTTAATTAAAAAAAAGTTGCAAGAATTGTAGAAATAACTCTTTTTCCTGAACTACTTAAGAGTAAGTTGCCGATATAAGGCTCCATCACTGCTGAATATATTAGTGTGTAATTCCTACCAATGAGGACTTTCTGCAACATAAGCATACTACAACCATGCAGTTGACATTGCTTCATTGTGACCACCTATTAATAATTCACAGTTTCTAAGGCAGGCAGATCGCCGGAGCCCAAGAATTTGAGATCAGCCTGGGCAATGTGGTAAAACCTGGTCTCTCCTAAAATACAAAAATTTAGGCTGGGCGCAGTGGCTCATGCCTATAATCCCAACATTTTGGGAGGCTGAGGCGGGTGGATCACCTGAGGTTAGGAGTTCGAGATGAGCCTGGCCAACATGGTGAAACCCTGTCTCTACTAAAAGTACAATTAGCTAGGCATGGTGGCGGGCACCTGTAATCCCAGCTACTCGGGAGGCTGAGGCAGGAGAATCGCTTGAACCTGGGAGGCAGAGGTTTCAGTGAGCTGAGATCCTGCCGCTGCACTCCTGCCAGGGTGACAGAGCAAGACTCTGTCTCAAAAATAAATAAATAAGCAAGCCAGGCACGGAAGCACACACTTGTAGTCCAGCTACTTGGGAGGCTGAGATGAGAGGATCACCTGAGCCTGGAAGTTCAAGGCGGCAGTGAGCTGTGATTATGCCACTGAATTCCAGCCTGGGCAATGGGAGTAAAGCTCCACCTCAAAAATAAAAAATAATAATAATAGTGGCTGGGTGCAGTAGCTCACACCTGTAACCCCAGCACTTTGGGAGGCCAAGGCAGGTGGATCACCTGAGGTCAGGAGTTCAAGACCAGCCTGGCCAACATGGTGAAATCTCATCTCTACTAAAAATACAAAAATTATCCAGGCGTGATGGTGGATGCCTGTAATCCCAGCTACTCAGGAGGCAGAGGCAGGAGAATCGTTTGAACCCAGGAGGCAGAGGTTGCAGTGAGCCAAGATTCAGCCATTGCACTCCAGCCTGGGCAACAGAGTAAGACTCTGTCTCACAGTAATAATAATAATAATAATAATAATAATAATAATAATTCACAGACTCTCATCAGGTTAGCCAAAGAGACCCTTTCCAAACAGAAGATCCACCCAGGTAAATAAAGCATATTTCATTGCTGTGTCTGCTTAGCCACCTAATCTGGAATGGTTCCTCAGTTTTTCCTTGACTTTTGAGTCCTTGACACTTTGGAACATTACAGGCCAGTTAATTGGCAGAAGGTTTCTTAGTTTAAGTTTACCAGACCTTTCTTCCTGCTTCAATTCAGGTTATGCATTTTTGTCAAGAATAGTATGAAAGTAAAGCTGGATTCTTCTGGTTGCTTCTTGACCTGTGACACATGAAGTTGCTATGCTATGTAACCGGGGCTGTTAACCTTGTCTGTCAGGTTTCTCCATTATAAAGTTTCTGTGTGTCTCCTGTGAGGAAAAAGTATGTTAAGGGAGGGACTCTGAGTCTGTGAATTATCCAGTTCTTCATCAAACTTTTACCCATTAGTCTTAGCATCCACTGGTGTTTCTTGGTTGAATTAATTATCACTCTGTTACTTATCAAGTGGCTATTTTCTAACTCCATTATTTTTTCCTACATTTATTCATTGGCATTCTACCATAAAAAAGCTTTTCTTCTCCCCATATCCTATTCTTTTATTTGTTTATGTCAGTACAGATGCATAGATTTTTATTTTATCCAATTGGTTATAATCTGTCACAATTTGTTGTTGTTGCTCAGATCATCCCAGCCTTGACCAGTGGAGCTCTTTCAAGCTGGCTTCTGTGACATTTTGATATGTCTATAACATTCTTTGAATACTTTCTTACTTCCTAGTACAACAAAATATTCCAGGCTCATCTTATACTTTTCCTGTCCCTGCCTTGAAATCAGTCACTGCTCCAGAGAGCTTCAGAGTGGTGAAAGGGATTTACAAGCCATGAGGAAGATGCTGGGTGTGCCCATTGCTATTAGGCTGTTCATGTTCCCAAGATACTACACAAGTTCACACGGACACCATCAATTACAATCCAACCTTAAATTATTCATGATCTTTTTCTCCCATTCCAAATTTGTAACTCCTTTCTCTAACGGTGAGCAATTGGCTCCAATTATGCTCAATGTATTTACTTATTTGATCAATCCCTTTAAAGGTGGACAATTTTCATCACCACCACCACTGTCAACTCATGCAGACATGCATCCTCCTTACCTTCTTGACCTTGGACATTGCACTCTGGTCCAATGCCATGTAGATGCCATCCCACTCTGCTCAGAAGACAAGTGAGACTCCCCGACTACCACACTCATAGCATGGTGCCTCCTCGCCATATTCAGGCACTGACAGCCATGCTGGAGTGCTCTGCACACTGCCCCCAGACCTGGATGACTGTCTTGCTCAGCCTCACCTAATCACTTTTGAACTGGATTAATCAGGAAGGAAAGCAGGAGAGAAGGCAGGAAGGGAGGCAGGAAGGAAGCATAATCTGAAATAGTTTGGACTCTTGTCAAAGGTATATGAAGTATATCTTAGTCCATTCAGGTTGCTATAAGAAAACGCCATAGACTGAATGGTTTATACACAACATAAATTTATTTCTTATAGTTCTGGAGGCTGGGGAGTCCAAGAACAAGGCATTAGCAGATTCATTGTCTTCTGTTTCATAGAATGTGTCTTCTTGCTGCATCCTCACATAGTGGAAGACATAAGGCAGCTTTCTGGGGCCTCCTTTATAAGGATACTAATTCCATTAATAAGGGAAGAGCCCTCATGAACTAATCACTTCCTAAAAGACTGTACCATCTAATACCATTAGTTCGGGGGTTAGAGACCACTGAAGGTAATCAATATTATACAAGCTCTGTCACACCCATTAGAATAGCTAACTATCAAAGGGAAAATAATAATAACGAGTGTTGGTAAAGACATGGATAAACTGAACCCTTGTGCATTATTGGTGGGGATGTAAAATGGGCAATTACTATGGGAAATAGTAGGGAAGTTGTTCAAAATTAGACAGAGAGTTACCATATGATCTAGCAATTGCATCCCCAGTATATAACAAAAGTAAGTCAAAGCAGGGACACAAAGAGATATTTGTCCATTCATGTTCATAGCAACACTATTCACAATAGCCAAAAAGTTGGAAGGATCCCAAGTATCCTTTAATGAATAAATGAATAAACAAAATGTGGTATAAACATAAAATGGAATATTATTATTCAGTCTTATAAGGAAGATGATTTGGACACATGCTACAACATGGATAAGCATGTTGAGGACATGCTCAACAACCTTGAGGATTTTGTGCTAAGTAAAATTAGCCAGTCGCAAAGAGACAAATACAGCATGATTCCACCCATATGAGATACCTAGAGTGGTCAAATTCAGAGAGGCATAAAGTACATTAGAGATTACTAAGGATTACAGAGAGAAGGGAATGGAGAGTTATTGTTTAAGGGTACAGAGTTTCAGTTTGAAAGATGAAAAGAGTTCTAGACATAGATAATAGTGATGGTTCCAAAACAATGTGAATGTAATTAATGCCACTGAAGTGAATGCTAAAAATGGTTAAAATGATAAATTTTATGTTATGTGCATTGTACCACAATAAAAAAGTTAAAATATTACACAATTTGTGAATATTATTTCAAAAGACTTGTTTTAGGAATTTTTCAAATGTGCAAACATAAATGGAACAAGTATATAGTTCCTATATGACTACATTAATAAAACAATGCTCATACTGCTATATTATTTCATATATTTTCTCAGATACACACATATTTAATTAAACATGATAGTTAATGACCTTTAAATATAAGAGCAGAAACCTTGGGGTAAGTTTTTTATTTTTGTCTCAAATAAGTTAAAACAAATTCCATTTATCCATATTTTTGGAAGAAACATTTGTTTTTCAAAATAAATTATTTTCAGACTTGGCTAACCACAAGTCTGAAATGTGCACAAAACTCCCTCAACCATACATATAGTAAAATAGAGGTAAAGAGAACAACAGATAATGCTGTGAATAAATTCTTCCAAGTCCATGAAACAAATTGGAGTCAAATTTGAATAATGCAATCAGTCTACATGAATATTTTAGGCCACTTGGTTTAATTCAGCAAATTTCATTGAACACCTGTTTATGCCAGATACAGTATTAAGTAATGAGGCTATAGAGAGGAGCAAAACACTATTTCTCAAAACACTATTTCTATCCTCTAGGATTGTAAATACTGTAGTTGGAATAAGATGGAGCCGAGAGAGGAACCAGCATTACTGAAAACCTGAATACATCATTTTATGTGAGTCTCGCAATCTCTCTGTGAGTTAGTTGTTGTTATCCCCATTTTTTAGATGAGAGAACTGAGATTTAGAGAGATTAAGTAAAGCACCATGAGACAAACAATTCACAAAAAGCAGAGATCTAATTTTTCCCCCGTTCATCTGATTCCAAAGTCCACACTCTGTCTCCAATCTTACCATGATATATTGAATTATACTACACTGTATTACACAATAAAAAATAGGCATGGGAACAAATAATTACAACCAACTACAATACAGGTGATACGAAAAATATTTGCCACATAGATGAATGTCAAAGAAGAAGCCATGGTCAACTTTGTTCTTCAGAATAGGCTCAGAAAAATTTAAATAGGGTGGTTAATTCTGCAGTAGAATTTGATATTAGATAGAAATTTTACAAGTTGACAAAGGAGGAAAAACTACTCAGTGGAAACATGCAAAATACTTTCTTTACCCATGTCAGGCCTCTGAGCCCAAGCTAAGCCATCATATCCCCTGTGACCTGCATGTACACATCCGGATGGCCGATTCCTGCCTTAATTGATGACATTCCACCACAAAAGAAGTGAAAATGGACTGTTCCTGCCTTAACGGATGGCATTATCTTGTGAAATTCCTTCTCCTGGCTCAAAAGCTCCCCTACTGAGCACCTTGTGACCCCCACTCCTGCCCGCCAGAGAACAACCCCCCTTTTCCTTTACCTACCCAAATCCTATAAAACGGCCCCACCCCTATCTCCCTTTGCTGACTCTCTTTTCGGACTCAGCCCGCCTGCACCCAGGTGAAATAAATAGCCATGTTGCTCACACAAAGCCTGTTTGGTGGTCTCTTCACACAGATGCACATGAAATTTGGTGCCGTGACTCGGATCGAGGGACCTCCCTTGGGAGATCAATCCCCTGTCCTCCTGCTATTTGTTCCATGAGAAAGATCCACCTACGACCTCAGGTCCTCAGACCAACCAGCCCAAGAAACATCTCACCAATTTCAAATCCAGTAAGTGGCCTCTTTTTCCTCTCTTCTCCAACCTCTCTCACTGTCCCTCAACCACTTTCACCTTTCCACTCTTCAATCTCTCCCTTCTTTTAATTTCAATTCCTTTCATTTTCTGATAGAGACAAAGGAGACACGTTTTATCTGTGGACCCAAAACTCTGGCACTGGTCACGGACTAGGGAAGGCAGCCTTCCCTTGGTGTTTAATCATTGCAGGGACACCTCTCTGATTATTCATCCAGGTTTCAGAGGTGTCAGACCACGCAGGGACGCCTACCTTGGTCCTTCACCCTTAGCAGCAAGTCCCACTTTTCTGGGGTAGGGGCAAGTACCCCAACCCCTTCTCTCCGTGTCTCTACCCCTTCTGCGCCTTTCTGGGGGGCAAGGAACCCCCAACCCCTTCTCCTTCACTCTTAGTGGCAAGTCCCGCTTTTCTAGAGGAGGGGCAAGTGCCCCAAGCTCATATCTCTGCGCCCCAATCCCTTATTTCCGCACCCCAACCTCTTATATCTCTGCGCCGCAATCCCTTATTTCTGTGCACCGACCTCTTATCTCTGTGCCCCAATCCCTCATTTCCGTGCCCCAACCTCTTATATCTCTGTGCCCCGATCCCTTATTTCCATGCCCCAACCTCTTATATCTCTGCACCCTGATCCCTTATTTCCACACCCCAACCTCGTATCTCTGCACCCCAACCCCTTTCCCGCTTTTCTGGAGGGTAAGAACCCCCGAACCGCTTCCCTCCATGTCTCTACTCTCCCTTTTCCTTAAACTTGCCTCTTTCACTATGGGCAACATTCCACCCTCCATTCCCCCTTCTTCTCCCTTAGCCTGTGTTCTTAAGAACTTAAAACCTCTTCAACTCTCACCTGACCTAAAATCTAAGCACTTTATTTTCTTCTGCAATGCCGCTTGACCCCAATACAAACTTGACAGTAGTTCCAAATAGCCAGAAAACAGCACTTTCAATTTTTCCACCCTGCAAGATCTAAATAATTCTTGTCGTAAAATGGGCAAACGGTCTGAGATGCCTGACGTCCAGGCATTCTTTTACACATCGGTCCCTCCCTAGTCTCTGTGCCCAGCGCAACTCATCCCAAATCTTCCTTCTTTCCCTCCCACCTGTCCCCTCAGTCCCAACCCCAAGTGTCACTGAGTCTTTCTAATCTTCCTTTTCTACAGACCCATCTGACCTCTCCCCTCCTCCCCAGGCTGCTCCTCGCCAGGCCGAGCTAGGTCCCAATTCTTCCTCAGCCTCCGCTCCTCCACCCTATAATCCTTTTATCACCTCCCCTCCTCACTCCCGGTCCAGCTTGCAGTTTCGTTCCGTGACTAGCCCTCCCCCACCTGCCCAGCAATTTACTCTTAAGAAGGTGGCTGGAGCTAAAGGCATAGTCAAGGTTAATGCTCCTTTTTCTTTATCCCAAATCGGATAGCATTTAGGCTCTTTTTCATCAAATATAAAAATCCAGCCCAGTTCATGACTCGTTTGGCAGCAACCCTGAGACACTTTACAGCCCTAGACCCTAAAAGTTCAAAAGGCCGTCTTATTCTCAAAATACATTTTATTACCAATCTGCTCCCAACATTAAATAAAACTCCAAAAATTAAATTCCGGCCCTCAAACCCCACAACAGGATTTAATTAACCTCGCCTTCAAGGTGTACAATAATAGAAAAAAGTTGCAATTCCTTGCCTCCACTGTGAGACAAACCCCAGCCACATCTCCAGCACACAAGAACTTCCAAATGCCTGAACCACAGTGGCCAGGCGTTCCTCCAGAACCTCCTCCCCCAGGAGCTTGCTACAAGTGCCAGAAATCTGGCCACCAGGCCAAGGAATGCCTGCAGCCCAGGATTCCTCCTAAGCCGCGTCCCATCTGTGCGGGACCCCACTGGAAATCGGACTGTTCAACTCACCTGGCAGCCACTCCCAGAGCCCCTGGAACTCTGGCCTAAGGCTCTCTGACTCCTTCCCAGATCTTCTTGGCTTAGCGGCTGAAGACTGACACTGCCCGATCACCTCGGAAGCCCCCTAGACCATCACGGATGCTGAGCTTCGGGTAACTCGCACAGTGGAAGGTAAGTCGGTCCCCTTCTTAATTAATACGGAGGCTACCCACTCCACATTACCTTATTTTTAACGACCTGTTTCCCTTGCCTCCATAACTGTTGTGGGTATTGATAGCCAGGCTTCTAATCCTCTTAAAACTCCCCACCTCTGGTGCCAATTTAGACAATACTCTTTTAACCATTCCTTTTAGTTATCCCCACCTGCCCAGTTCCCTTATTAGGCCGAGACACTTTAACTAAATTATCTGCTTCCCTGACTATTCCTGGATTACAGCTACATCTCATTGCTGCCCTTCTTCCCAATCCAAAGCCTCCTTTGCGTCCTCCTCTTGTATCCCCCACCTTAACCCACATGTATAAGATACCTCTACTCCCTTCTTGGTGACCGATCATGCACCCCTTACCATCTCATTAAAACCTAATCACCCTTACCCCACTCAATGCCAATATGCCATCCCACAGCACAGTTTGAAAGGATTAAAGCCTGTTATCACTCACCTGTTACAGCACGGCCTTTTAAAGCCTATAAACTCTCCTTATCATTCCCCCATTTTACCTGTCCTAAAACCAGACAAGCCTTACAAGTTAGTTCAGGATCTATGCCTTATCAACCAAATTGTTTTGCCTATCCACCCCATGGTGCCAAACCCATATACTCTCCTATCCTCAATACCTCCCTCCACAATCCATTATTCTGTTCTGGATCTCAAACATGCTTTCTTTACTATTCCTTTGCACCCGTCATCCCAGCCTCTCTTCGCTTTCACTTGGACTGACCCTGACACCCATCAGGCTCAGCAAATTACCTAGGCTTTACTGCTGCAAAGCTTCACAGACAGCCCCCATTACTTCAGTCAAGCCCAAATTTCTTCCTTATCTGTTACCTATCTCAGCATAATTCTCATAAAAATACACATGCTCTCCCTGCTGATCGTGTCTGATTAATCTCCCAAACCTCAATCCCTTACAAAACAACAACTCCTTTCCTTCCTAGGCATGGTTAGTGTGGTCAGAATTCTTACACAAGAGCCAGGACCGCACCCTGTAGCCTTTCTGTACAAACAACTTGACCTTACTGTTTTAGCCTAGCCATCATGTCTCCGTGCAGCGGCTGCTGCCGCCCTAATACTTTTAGAGGCCCTCAAAATCACAAACTATCCTCAACTTACTTTCTACATTTCTCATAACTTCCGAAATCTATTTTCTTCCTCATACCTGACGCATATACTTTCTGCTCCCCAGCTCCTTCAGCTGTACTCACTCTTTGTTAAGTCCCACAATTACCATTGTTCCTGGCCCAGACTTCAATCCGGCCTCCCACATTATTCCTGATACCACACCTGACCCCCATGACTGTATCTCTCTGATCCACCTGACGTTCACCCCATTTCCCCACATTTCCTTCTTCCCTGTTTCTCATCCTGATCACACTTGGTTTATTGATGGCAGTTCCACCAGGCCTAATCGCCACACACCAGCAAAGGCAGGCTATGCTATAGTACAAGCCACTAGCCCGTCTCTTAGAACCTCTCATTTCCTTTCCATCATGGAAATCTATCCTCAAGGAGATCACTTCTCAGTGTTCCATCTGCTATTCTACTACCCCTCAGGGATTGTTCAGGTCCCCTCCCTTTCCTACACATCAAGCTCGAAGATTTGTCCCTGCCCAGGACTGGCAAATTGACTTAAATACCTCTTAGTCTAGGTAGACACTTTCACCGGATAGGTAGAGTCCTTTCCTACGGGGTCTGAGAAGGCCACCGCGGTCATTTCTTCCCTTCTGTCAGACATAATTCCTCAGTTTGGCCTTCCCACCTCTATACAGTCTGATAACAGACCAGCCTTTATTAGTCAAATCAGCCAAGTATTTTTTCAGGCTCTTGGTATTCAGTGAAACCTTTATATACCTTACAGTCCTCAGTCTTCAGGAAAGGTAGAACGGACTAATGGTCTTTTAAAAACACACCTCACCAAGCTCAGCCACCAACTTAAAAAAGACTGGACAATACTTTTACCACTTTCCCTTCTCAGAATTCAGGCCTGTCCTTGGAATGCTACAAGGTACAGCCCATTTGAGCTCCTGTATAGATGCTCCTTTTTATTAGGCCCCAGTCTCATTCCAGACACCAGACCAACTTAGACTGTGCCCCAAAAAACTTGTCATCTTTTCTATCTTCTGTCTAGTCATACTCCTATTCACCGTTCTCAGCTACTCATACATGCCCTGCTCTTGTTTACACTGCCGGTTTACACTGTTTCCCCAAGCCATCACAGCTGATATCTCCTGGTGCTATCCCCAAACCGCCACTCTTAACTCTTGAAGTAAATAAATAATCTTTGCTGACAGGACTATGCTGAATCTCCTTAGGAACTCTCTAATTAGATGTCCTGGGTCCTCCCAATTCTTAGACCTTTAATACCTGTTTTTCTCCTTCTCTTATTCCATTTAGTTTTTCAATTCATACAAAACTGTATCCAGGCCATCACCAATAATTCTAAATGACAAATGTTTCTTCTAACAGTCCCACAATATCACCCCTTACCACAAAATCTTCCTTCAGCTTAATCTCTCCCACTCTAGGTTCCCACGCCGCCCCTAATCCCACTCGAAGCAGCCCTGAGAAACACCGCCCATTATCTCCCTATACCATCCCCAAAAATTTTCGCCATCCCAACACTTTACCACTATTTCATTTTATTTTTCTTATTAATATAAGAAGACAGGAATGTCAGGCCTCTGAGCCCAAGCTAAGCCATCATATCCCCTGTGACCTGCATGTACACATCCGGATGGCCGATTCCTGCCTTAATTGATGACATTCCACCACAAAAGAAGTGAAAATGGACTGTTCCTGCCTTAACGGATGGCATTATCTTGTGAAATTCCTTCTCCTGGCTCAAAAGCTCCCCTACTGAGCACCTTGTGACCCCCACTCCTGCCCACCAGAGAACAACCCCCCTTTTCCTTTACCTACCCAAATCCTATAAAACGGCCCCACCCCTATCTCCCTTTGCTGACTCTCTTTTCGGACTCAGCCCGCCTGCACCCAGGTGAAATAAATAGCCATGTTGCTCACACAAAGCCTGTTTGGTGGTCTCTTCACACGGCCGCGCATGAAAACCCATGTCTATATTCATTCATTTGCCCTTCCAATTCACTCCTCTGGTCTGCAGTTCACCCACAAGAAGGTATTTCACTGGAATGTTGCTTATAAATGTTGTTAGATTTTGCCAAGTGAAGATGCTGTGTTTCATTATCCCCTTTACACATATATTTCTTTGAGTACAGTCTTTATTTTTTGCAATATGTTTATGTTTGGCATATCTCAGTGTGTGGTGTGTATACAACACGGTACACATATATTCACTGCATCTACCACCTTTTGTCTCTTTTGTACCCTCACATAGTTTCTGCAATCATCTCCAGCACATGGGGATGCTCAGGAGATATTACTAATTGATTTTAAGTCTTCTCAAAGAACATTCATTATCATTATCATTATGCCCACACTGGAAAACTGTCAGATGTCAATGTGTACTTGGTAGAAAGAAATTGACTTGTGAATGTTAATACCTTGGTGAAACATTTTTCCATAGATAACAATTTTCTGGAAAAATGCTCTTTTGATGTAATGGCCACAAACAGACTTATTCTTTCTCTGCAGAGGACAAAAAGGCACCCTTACAACATACACCTTCCAGTCTGTGTTAGTGATGGCACTAATACAGATGCCCAGAGCTATATCCCCTGCCCAGAGCTGACAGATTCTTTTTATCCATTATATCTCAAGCATCAGATCACTAATTCATGTACAGGATAAGACAACTGCCAAATTATTAGACTACAGAGGGAAGCTCCTCAGACACCTGTCATGTTGATGAAAGCAGCATCGTCCTCTGACCTTTGCCAGTTCAAGGTCGATAATGAGAGGAGTCAGGCAGGAAGAGCAGCATGTGTCGGCTCCATTAGCGTGCGCTGTGTGTGCACTCAGGAGCACTGCATCTCCTGTCAATTATTGTGGGGAGACCGGGGACCGCTGATTACCAGGGACATGGCGTAGCGAGCCGCAGTTACCTCTACTTCTGTACCCAGCTGCATTTTAATTAGCGCAATCCCTCGACTATATCTTCAGAGCTTCATTATTGAGCTTCAAGAAACTCAAGTAAGGCTTTTTACATTTCACATCACTAATAGGAAGAAATGTTGAAGATTCTAATAATGGAGTTTGATGACACCAGTCTCTGGGTAAAGGCTTTGCAGGCTTCTTAGAACAGGACAATCTTGACTTGCTGAGAGCTGTGTGTAGCAGAACCAGCCACAGAAGCAGAAGGGGAGAGGGACAGTTTCCCAGTAAGAAAGCCATAGACAGCAGCTAGGAGAGCAGCAAAATAAATGCGGGATAGCAACCCCACAGCCTGGCCTGTCTACATAGGGGTCTGTGCATATCCATATGAAGAAGAATGCAGTGAGCAAGCAGTCTTTGAATCCACAAATAAAGGAACAAAGGGAAGGAATTTAAAAATCTGAAAAGGGAACTGTCTTCATAGTTTTCACACTTTTCTCTTACAAAAGAAACTGTTTGAGCCTTTGCAAAAATCACTCATTTAGCAGAAAAGAGTCTAAAATATCAAAGTCAGAAGACTTTTATTCTCATAAACCACCACCACAATTCTCCCAGGGTAGTGATTTTTAAATGGAGTAAGTATCACCGTCATATAGAGGGTGGTTAAAACACAGATTGCTGGGCTCGCACCATTTCTTCCCAAGTTTCTGATTCATTAGGTCTGAGGTAGGACTGGATGATTTTGCATTTCTAACAAGTTCCCAGGTGATGCTGATGCTGTTGATGAATGGGAGACAACTATATTTACATAATCGCCTTCCCAGAGGCAGCTACCCAAATTGCAGGTAGAGTGCCCGAAAGAAATAATTACCCCTTGCCATTTAAAACAAAGATATGCTACCTATGATCACCTAAGTCAGTCATTGAAACATGAGCGTGAAACGTTATATACATTAACATCAATGTCTTATTTAATCACAATAATATGTGGGGGTTTGTAGTAAATTCTTTAGTGTAAGAATATTTAAGGAGTTCATTGCCAAGTAAAAAGCACTCTCTTCACTAAGGATATACCTCTTTAATGCCACCCTGTTACTTGAATAAACTTAATCTTAATTTATATAGAATGAAGGATAACTAGCCATCAGCTGAACCATAAAACAGTGACCTAAAAAATATTTGAAGTAGTTGACTATGCATGTGTGGTTATGTTACAGATTAGTTAGGTATCTTAGCTCTTGATTTATCTAAAAAGTTTTCAGGACCAAATGTTATGCATGATCACTACGATTATTGAATAGCTTGCTTTAATCTATGTAGACTTCAGTTACTCATCTGTGAGATGTGGAAATACACTTAAAAATCCTGGTTCCTTCTAGCTTTAAAATTTCATGACATGGATCCCTATTTTCTACTTGAGTCAACATGTTTAGCACCTGGTGTGACACTCCGATTAGAAGTAAACTCTTTAAATTCTGAGCTCAGTCCCTTTAGCACATTTTATAATCTGGATCAGCACCAAATTGAAAATACCTTTTAACTTGTTATGTACTCGGTGTTTCTGCAGGGAAAAGTTCCCAACCACATTTCACATTCCAAAATGTTTACCTTCCCAGAAACTTCCAGAATAAGTCATGCAGTGGAAAAAGGTCACATTCTACCTGGCATAAAGATCAAATCTACTGATAAATTAAACCAATGGCAGAAATTATCCATTGAAATTCTTGGAAAGAATGCTAGGAGGGCATTACATTCAAATACAACTGAAAATTTACTTTCATAGATACTTTTCCCATTTACTTTATTCAGATGTAATATTGGAATGGCCAAATTTATTAACAGCCTAGTAATCTCAAACTAGTGAATTCTAAATATACTCTGTCCCATCAAATTCGTTGGGAGCTTTCAATACATTTCAAAGTTTATGCTGATTACATAAGAAAGACTGCTAGTCAAGCCTTGGATTACTGAGTCCAATCCAACTTTTTAGAAGCATGGGGACATGAAGTGTTCTTAGAAGATATCTTGAATCAGGACTGGCAAAACGGAGCATGTAGAAAAATGGTTCCATCCACGTGGTTTAGGTCTACTGATTTGTTCAGGTCTAATACTATTGCTGGAAATGTTTCTTCAGAGGTAATAGGGGTAACTCCAAACACATTTTTTCTCCTTTAGACTCAGCTAATGCATATGAAATTAGACAATGAGAAGTAAAAGCTTTAGTAAAAGTTGAAGCCCTCATTCAAAGCTTTTATAATAGTTTCAGGCTTCTTCTCACACCACAGAGCTGTAATTCCAAGTTGCTTATGATGTTGGCAAATGGAAAACTGAGAACTTGGTGAGCTGATAGACAAAGAGTATCGACAGGCCAGTAAATGTTTAAGCCCACTCACCGGGATAATTCAGCATTTGTCTTTGTGAACACACAGTATAGCCTAGGTTTTGAGAAACTAAAACTCAAACCATGAAACTCTCTTCTCCTTTCTGCCCGCAGCATTTCAGCGTTTGAGTGGGCAACCCAGCCACCTGTCCTTCTTCAGAGAATTTATATAGCCCCTCATTTTGCCTCTCATTGCATTAGATAATGAAGTTAAAACAGACTCTCTTTCACATTTGGGATGAAAAATCACCAAGCTTCTATGCAGAAAATTTCTTTTCTTTACTCAAACCTCTGAGGGATCCAGAATGGCATTTTCAGGTGACATGGACATGTGCAGGTCAGCGAGGTCAGGAAGAGAGCTGACTCAAACCGTTTCTTCTTGACATTGACCTGCCACTACATATTAACATATAAAGAGCTTATGAGGACCTGAGTTGAAAATACTTCCATTTACAAGGAAGTAAACTGAGGCTCACAGAATTGCAGCAGCTTACCTGAGAACAGAGGCAGGACCGAGCTCAAGAGGCAGAGGTGGCCCTGGAAGATGTTGAAAATCACTTTGTATTAAGCCACTCTGCAACTACTTAGGAATCATATTTTTAAAACGTATTTTATTAACCAGAATTCAACTCTACCTGTAGCTCCGCTATTCATAAGGATCATCACAAATTGATTGTTCAATGTTGTATTAATTCCTATTACACATTTTCATGGCTAAATATAGAAAAATAATGACTTTCACATTTTTTTAAATGAGAGTGTAAAATTCTTGAATGCTAGAGTGACATATATTTAAAGGCACCCGAGAAATTAGTCTGCTGATTTTCCATGTCTTATACATCCAAAATCTCACAGCTCAAGTTTTCATTTTCACCATGTATTTTGGCAGCTTCTAAGATAACCCCAAATAATTACACTGTTTTCTTAGGGCTGTTAGAATAAGGGTCTATATACTCCTTATACAAACCTACAACAGTTTGAGTCTTCACAAATCAAATCATTGAGACTACACACCCACACAGAAGCTATAATGAAAGGAGTTTATAAATAAAAGGGTTTTTTACCACCTACTCTCTGAACCATCATATTCCTCTGGAAGGAAGTTTTAAAAGAAAAAAAATGAGAGAAAATGGCTGTGTGTGTGTGTGTGTGTGTATGAGAGGGAGAGAGAGAGGGAGAGAGAGAGAGAGAGAGAGAGAGAGAGAGAGAGTGTGTGTGTGTGTGTGTGTGTGTGTGTGTGTGTGTGCGCGCGCGCACGCGCGCGCAGGATCAGATTGCCCTCTGGTGGACAGTTTATTTCTTCCTTCTTTTAAGATACAACAAAGGAGAAAGAAAAGTAACAATAAAAAAACAGGGAAAAAGGAAACTAGAAAATTAAAAAGCAGAGGAAAAATTGGGAAAGGAAAGAATATAGAAAAGAACAAAGTCAAGAAAAAGGAATGGAACTAGGAAATACTGGTGAAAGACAATAAGGAAATCAAGGAAAAAGAAAGAAGGTTGAGGATCGTGAGAAAAAAAAACAAAGACCAAAAACTGGCTAGTGTCACCTTATACTTAATCAATCCTGGAATTATTTATGGAGAAATAAAATACTTGTAATTACAAATGCTAACTATATCTGGCATTTTAACTTGTTAAACGTTTTCAACATATCTGCTAACTACATGCATGTAAAGTAAGCTTTAATAGCAGCTGTTAGACTTCATGAGAATTGGGGGAGCGTTTTGCAGAACCTAACTGAGAAGAAAGTTTAGAAAAGAAAAACTGCTTTTCTTTACACTTTTTAAAAGTTGCATATAAATCCCAACCGAACATACAAGTCAAGACACGGTGTGCTTTGGCATTTTACATATTTACCATAAAAAGGGGTTTAAAATGTGTACTTTTTTTAATGTTATTGACTGATTGAATAATTTGCTCATAGATTTTTTAGCCATTTGGATGTCTTGAGAGGGAAAAACCACAGGTTAAAATATTATAAAATTTAAGATAAATAAGTTTTAAAAATCCAGTTTGTTACATAAGGAGTACCATAGACAATTGTTTTATTGACAACTGCCAATGTCTCCCACTCATTCTATTATAAAAGTTTGGAATGTGTAACATTTATGTTAGCTAAGCGGAAAGAAACATTCAGAGGAAGCTCAAAGCATCATCCTCATGCCCTCAAACCTGCATTTACCAGAAATACCTGCAGCCAGGGCCACGGCCCCTCTGCCCAGGAGTAGACATAACACTTCCACTGCCTGCTGTGAGCGCACGCTGCAAGGACCCAGAAGAGCAGCTCTCAAGCCCAGCTCCTAATCTTTTCTCCTTAGCCTGCACCAGTGTAGAGCTCAGTGCCTTCCAGGGGCTTAACACCACCGCCCTGCACTACTGAAACAAACACAGTGGTCTCCCACCTTGTTGAATTCACCAACAATGGCTTTCTGCTATAATAAGGCTGTAAGCTCCTTTAAACGGTTATTCAAAGAGATGCTTTAGGAGAGAATAGAATTAGGTTCATTGAAAGTCTTTTAAGCAATCTTGGAGCATACAACCAAACTGAAGCTCAGTGATGGAGAAAGGGAATGCGTACACATCGGTTGTGGCAGAAATCAGAGGCACAGATGTAACAGAGGGGGAACAAAAACAAATTCTGAAGTTCTTTTTTCCATACACAGACCTGTTCCTTCTACCCAAGAAAGAACAGTTAATGAAGCCACATGAGCATCCCTCCCTGCCAACAGGTAAGAAGTCCTGAGGCTATGACCCCTTGTCCCTCCTCCTCAAGGGCACACCTGGGCACAGTGGCATCTCCTGAGTTCATTCTTGGCTTCACTTCCTCCTCTCAATTTATTTACTACTGTTATTTATTTCTATACTGAAAAGGAAAACCTACTTATCTCCACTAAGAACCTTCATTTTTGCTCAACCACAAGAAAATGAGCTTCCTGCTCTGCATGCAGGGTTCAGACAATAGGAAACATAGCTCTGCAATGGTGGGGGTAGAAATTCTAAATATCGTTAATGACAAATGTCTCCCAACTTTAATGTGATAAAGGTTTCACACCCAGGATAAAATGTATTTCCCATGTTTCAAAAGTTTTAACTTGGAAGATCATTGTTAGAACAGTTAACTTCGTCGGGGGAGGCATCACTGACTATACAGAGTTTGATGATACTAGAAGGTAAGTCCTCAACTTTAGAACTGGATACCAAAAAAAAAAAAAAGTTGGCAATTTTCTTTTGAGAAATTACAAACTTATCAAAACCAAAAATGTGGGGGTTTTCTTTCTCACTAAGCTAACGGGGTCAGTTTTCCCAAATGTCTAAATCAATCCATGACTGTAAATAGGACAATCGCAAAAACGTCAATTATTTTAGATGATAAAGATGATACATTTAAGCCTTATTTCTGCTTTGCAGCAATTTGGGGTGCTCACAAACAGTAATGCTAACTGTTGGCATTTATTATCAAGTGTGATGGGTAGAGTACCTCTCTAAACATAATCCAGGGTGCTAATGACAGAATGATCAGCTATATTTCAAACTGTTTGTAATACAAACTTTGTGCTTTCAGCAATTTGAGAAAATCAAAAATGATCTCAATTTTTGAAAATAACATCCTATTTAACCTAACTCTAGAAAAACGAAGCTTCAATCAATCAAGTTAGTTAAAAGAACATTTCTGTAACTAGATTAACTCATGCAATTCTCATTTATAAGATTAATTTTACTTGAGGCTCATAATTATTTCCTTAGTAATTACTAGCTTAGGCCCACAGCTATTGACTCTAAATTTCTTTATTCATTCAGAAAACATTTATTGACTACTAGGTGCTAGGAATACAATGTTGTTCTATTTTTAATCCATATTTTTCAGGTGTACACCTTAGAGAAGAGACAGACAAGTATATGACGTAATCGGATAAATGTCTCGACAATCTATTACAGCAGCTCAACAAAGGGCCACCTAATTGAACCTGGAAGTATCAGGAAGGCTTCCTGGAAAACGTGATAGCTAAGTGGAGTTTTTAACAATAGTAGTAATAATAACAACCTTGTTATTCTAAATGGTTCATATTTATTTTTTAATAAAAAATATTTCATATTTTTTATTTATGAATAAATATTTAATATTTGCAGCAGCCCCATGATCAATGTACTATTATTATCCATTTTACAGATAAGCAGGTGGAGGTAAAAAGGGGTTAAGTTACTTGCCCAAGTCAGTACAGACAGAGAGTGAAAGGGTCAGGATATAAATCTAGTCTAGCCTGAATCCATAGCCCATTTTTAACCACCCACTATGCTAAAATCTTTTCTATTTCAAGCAGAGGAAAGAAGGTGTTCAATGTGCTGAGATATGAGAAAACACCAAGCATTCAGGGACCTGCAAGCAGGTCAATAAAGTTAAAGCATAGTGTATGAGTAATGAGTGCCAAAAATAAGTGTAACTTTATCAGTAAGAATTGCAGGCACTGTTGGTTATAACTTTTGATTCACGTACACTGCTCAGAAAGACAAAGTTGTGCTGCAATAACAACACAACTTCAAAATTTCAGTGGCTTAAAACAACAAATGTTTATTTCTTGCTCATATGACACATCCAATATGGAAAGTTCTGCTCATGAGACCCACTTAGAAACCAAGGCTAATGTGGGCCATATCTTAACTCTTGGCTTCCAGGATTGTTCTGGCAGGAAAAGAGAGAATTGCGGAATCAAGCACCCGCAGTTAAATGCTTTGGCCCAGAAGTGATGTGTGTCACATTTCATTGTCCAATGCTAGTTACATGATGATACCTAACTTCAAGAGGGCAGGGAAGTACAATCCCTGTACTTGTACTTTGAATCTGAGCAGTACTTGAGATCAGTAACTGCATACCATAAGTTATTGTCTTCAGTATTGAAAAGTAATACCATGCAGCACATAAAAATACGATTTGGGCCGGGCGTGGTGGCTCACGCCTGTAATCCCAGCACTTTGGGAGGCCGAGGCGGGTGGATCATGAGGTCAGGAGATCGAGACCATCCTGGCTAACACAGTGAAACCCCGTCTCTACTAAAAATACAAAAAATTAGCCGGGAGCGGTGGCGGGCTCCTGTAGTCCCAGCTACTTGAGAGGCTGAGGCAGGAGAATGGCGTGAACCCAGGAGGCGGAGCTTGCAGTGAGCCGAGATCGCGCCACTGTACTCCAGCCTGGGCGACAGAGCCAGACGCTGTCTCAAAAAAAAAAAAAAAAAAAAAAAAATACGATTTGAAGTCAGACACAATGAGGTGAGAATCCCAACTTCACAACTCATTAGTCTGCGTGATTCTGATTATGGTTCTTAGCCCTCAAAATTGCAGTTTCTTTTTCTTAAATATAGAGACATTCCCTTTCGAGATTGCTGTGAGGTTTAAATGAGATTATGTCTAAAAGCTTAGTGCTTATGACAAAGTAGAAGTCCAATAAATGGTGGCTTTATTTGGAATTGATCAAGAATTTGCAATTTAGTAAAAGTCAAGAGCAGACTACAAAAAGGATTGTAGTTGATTGGAATCATCACCATAGGTTATATAACAAAATATTCAGTGAAGAAGCAGGAAATTATAGTTAATGTGCAATAAACCAGGGATTCTCTTCCTAGTTTCTCATTTATATTAGCCTTTTAAAGCTGCCTAACAAATTACCATAAACATACTGGCTTAAAACAATTCCTGTGTATTAGCTTACAGTTTTGTAGGGTGGAAGTCCAAGCAGGGCTCAGTTTTCTGATCAGTTTCTCACAGGCTGAAATCAAAGTGTTGACCGGGCTGCATTCTCATCTGGAGCTGGGTTCTTCTTCCAGTGTTATGTCCTCACTGCAGAATTCAGCTCCTTCCAGTATGTGATTGACGTGCCCGTTCCTTGCTGGCTATTGGTCAGGAGCTGCTCTCAGCAGCTAGAGTTCATCCACAGTTCCTTGCCACATGGCCCCCAAAGACAATCACAATATGGTTGTTTGCTTTCTTCCAAGCCAGGAGGTATTCCTTCTCTCAGACTACATCCTCTATGAATAGCCCTAGAAAACACTCTAAGCTTTTAAAGAGATCACCTGATTAGCTCAGGCTCTTTTTTAAAAAATATAACAATTACTGGAGTGAAATTTCATAGTATTCAGAAGTTCCACCCACATTAAACTGGAGGATCATATGATGGAGAGAATCATTGGCAATCATCTGAGAAGTCTGTCTACCACATCTCTTCACAGCTTTTCCATGCTGAAGGCAACAATGTATTTTATGACAAACAATGATTCACAGAGGTAGTGCATAGGAGGCATCTGTGGTATTTAACACACAATTCTTAATCCCAACTAGCCTAGAATTCCTAGGACTGGGAAACCCACTCCTTAGGGAAATCATCACATATTTGTTGGAAGGCAATTCTCCACATGTCTCTCATTTCTGCACCTTATAAGCATAGGTACCTACTGCTTTGTTCCATTTCTGCACCTTATAAGTAGAGGTACCCTTTGTTCTAGACTATCTTTTCAAGGACAATTGTAGCACACACAACCTTGAAAGACAGATACTGTGTCTTCCTCCAGAGCAAAGAACAAATTTGATTACTAGTCTGTATAATAATTATACCTCTTTCCAAAGCAAAGGGCAAGCATACTTCCTGCCATTATAAAAGATTCAGATTTCCCGAGTCAGGATTCCTCTCCTGGAATAAAGCTCACTGTGAATAAGACATCTACCTGGGTCCATTCACTTCATCCCTATGGAACATGGAAGCAAGGGGAAACTGACCAAACATGGTGAGAGACTGGCTACTATTATTGCTATGAGTAATGAACTATCCTTTGTCTTGGATCCAGGAGTTTCATGTCTTCCACCAGCATCCATAAAACTGTGACAAACTAACAAGCTTACTTAATCTACTTCCTTAGCTTGCAAGTAGACTTAAAATCTTAGAACTTTCATAGTTCTTGACAATATTCAAGGTATTAAAAGAGAGACTAGAAGGACTGCATGGTGGAAAAAAAATGTACTCAGAAGAAAAAAGCTAACTGCGTTCATTTGTAAAGAATTACATATACTTATTTTTTCCTTAGGTTATAAATATCCTAGAAGGATGCATTTTAAAATATCTAGCTTGATAGATTTAGGTTATTATAGCAGAAAATCATATGAATCTTAAATGAATATTTTCAATATATGTTTACTTTTCTCCTATACTGTTAATACAAAGCATATCCATATTTCTATAATTTTTAAAACTGATTTTTCTTTAATCAGGTCATCTCTACAGATAATTGGCTTATAATTCTATAAGTGTTATAAATTATTTCCAATTTCTTTCACAAACACAGAACACTTGTAATCACAGATCTTTCCTTTAAGGAAACATAACTTTATGTATAGAAAACCAACCACTATGACCAGAGATTACAAATTGCCTGAGGTAGATAAACATTATTTTTTGATAGGAGTTTTTACAAAAAAAATTAAAGAAATTTTTATAAGAGTTTGACTTATCACCAAAGATTATTTTTCCCACTTCTATTCATTAGTTCTACTACTGTATATTGCAATAAATATGTACAAATACATACACCCCTAGATTCTTGTATAAAAAAGCAAATTTATTAAGAAGTATATATATCTTTTGGGAATTCACTAAAATAGAATCTCACATTCAGACTGATATTGGCATGTATTTGACATTTTTGTATACATTTATTTCTCATTGACTCATATTCAATGAATATTTTAAATGATAGAAAAAATATCCTGGCCTCTGATTTTCAAGAAGTGAGCTCCTATGACCAGGGAGACTACAAAGACATCCCCTGTACACCCTGTTCCAGATTCCTTAGTTTGGCACAATTTGTTAGTTCATCATTTTTTAAAAATTTCTGTTTATATTATGAATGTGGCATAAAATTATTTACTATGTTTATCTATAAAAGTCTTGATTATGTTCATTTTAGGCATGAGATAGCAAATAGTTTGAGAGTCCATTAAAGTTTCTATTTCAGTTGGTTGCAATTAAAATGATAAAGCCCTTTTCCACAGCAGGCATCCACTCGCCACTGGACTCTACCTCATTGTGGACTGAAAAATCACTAAGCATGAGTCAAAATTAAATCAGAAGTCATATGAAAATATTTCCCAAGTACTTGAACATTCATGGGTAGTAGTTTACAAAGAGTACATTTTGCAGAGAGGGAAAAGACTGAGTCATAACCCTTGCATTGGAGCTTGTAATGTTTTCTGCTGTTACTCAGTTTTTGTTTTGGAAAATAACTGAGTTCACTGGACAAAAACCATACTCACAATGGTATCTTTTCTGCATCAAAGAGGCCAGGAGATATGTGTCATTCTTTGCCCTTTTATTTATTTGGGAAGTCAGAGTCATAATACAAAAAAAAAAAAATCGAATCTAGGATGGATAAGACAATGGCATGACATATAAGCCATTCTAAAAGTCTTCACTTTGAAATTTTGTTATATGAAATAGATTCCGGAACTTAGAAAGCTGGTTTTAATTCAGTGTTGTGCATGTAAAATAATAGATAGATGGAGACAGAGACACATATACATGGACATATTTACATTTATAATGAAACTTGTAAAACTTTGGAAAATAGGTTAAAATGTAAAGGAAAACATTGAAGTTATCTTGTATCACACCACCCCTGATCATCTCTATTAACATTTGGGTGTAATTCCTTCTAATACATCTTTCTTAAGTATGCAAACACATGTATTCATTAGAAATTGGAGTGTTGCATTTTATACTGTTTTGTGTAATTTGCCTGTTACGCAAATATCATTGAAAAGTGTCTTAAGAATGTAAACATTGGCTTTGATATGGTGAAGTCAGTGTGTCCACAGGAGAAGATGAGAATGAGTCTTGGAAGGAAGAAGTTTATTATCCTTACAGGTTCCAGAGGCGGAGGTTACCGCATGCCACACAAGGCCCAGGAGAAAACACTGGGGTGGTCAGGAGGTAGAAGCAGGAGTGAGAGGAAAGTCTAGGCAGAGCACTGACTGGGGTTTGGCAAGGCAGGACAGAGGAAAAATCTTTGGAATGGCTAGCTTAAAGAATTCTACCGGGCTTTGGGGCATTGGGGTGATGTCTAGTTGCCTGGTACCTAGCCCTGTAATAATTTAGGGCCAGGGACATGGCTTGGTATCTGATAATTAGATAAGGAGATGGCTGAAAAATGGTTGGGGATTGGCTGGATTGCATATAAAAAACACGCTCCCAGACTGAGCCCTGTGTTCGTTCTTTTTTTTTTTTTTCAGGCATCTGGCTCTGTGGCCTGGGCTGGAGTGCAATGACACAATCTCGACTCACCACAACCTCCGCCTCCCGGGTTCAAGCGATTCTCCTGCCTCAGCCTCCCGAGTAGCTGGGATTACAGGTGCCTGCCACCACGCCCAGCTAATTTATTGTAGTTTTAGTAGAGATGGGGTTTCACTATGTTGGCCAGACTGGTCTTAAACTCCTGACCGCATGACCTGCCCACCTCAGCCTCCCAAAGTGCTGGGATTATAGGCGTGAGACACCACACCCAGCCAGCCCTATGTTATTTCTAGGAAAAGCCTAGCCCTGGGAGGGGCAGTCTCTCCCTACTCAGCGAGAAATGCCAGGGTATCAAAAGTACAGAAAATAAGAAAATATAGTTAATATAATCTGCCCTGTGATGAGCAGATGTCAAATACAGAATCTAAGAAAACATGGAGCAAAAGACATGGCTTCTTCGTGGCTGCCTAGTAATCCATCACAAATTACACAAAAATGTATAAAAATGTATTCCACAAATGACACAGTAGTTCTGCTTTTATTGGATAGTTATCTCTTTGTAGATGTTTGATATTCTAAATAATTCCTCAATGAATGGACAGAGAGGAAAAAAGATAAAAAAGAGAATTCATGAATTTACTTTAACTGTTATATATAAATATGTGTAATATGTATAATTATGTATGATACAATATATAATATGTATGTAAAATATAACATAATCATATGATTATGATACAACTGAATACAGAAATGATTATACCATTATGATGATATATAATATTTGTTTGCTTTTGTCTACCTCAGGAAGTTAGTAAAGCAAGCTTAGATCTGTATTTACTGACTTCTAGAAATGCCCACAATATATTGACATGTGAAAGAAGCATACTACAGAATAATGCATGTATTTAAAGTTCATTTCAGCACTAACAATCAACCAACCAAACCCCTTTAGATAATATGCTATATATATTCATTTCAACAAGGAGATAGGTATGAAGGTACATACCAGACCACTAAAATTGGTTTCCACTGAGGAATGCGAAGCATAGGTAGAAGGAAGGCAGGGAGAGATAATTAACTTTGTTTTTATACTTTTTCATATTGTATCATTTAATGTATTACAACAGAAATGTATTAGTATAATTTGAAGACATTCAATAAATACATTTTTTTAAAAAAGATAAAAACATTTTGGCTTTTCTTATTCTTTCCTTTCAATAACTCTTAGAGAGAATTTATTAATTTAAAAAATATGAATATTTTAAGGATTATATATACGTATTATATATAAAACATGTGCTCCTATCAGCAGTGTACAAAAGCAGGTGTCTATTTCCCCCATAACTGCTAATACTGAACATTCATGTTTCAAATAGTGAAAAGAAATTGTAAACATACTTTATTTTACATTACTAGTAAAAATGAACTTTTTAACCACTTGTTATTATTGTGAGGATGAAATGACCATTCTCTTTTTTAAAAGGAAGTTCTTCTTATTGATTTGTGAGTAATCTTTGTGTATTAGTTATATACATAAACACAAATAAGTCAATGATATTATCCATTTGTCATGTTGCAAATACATTTCTCTTTTTGTCATGTGACCTGCATATTTTGGTATGTAAAATGTAGGAGATACTCCTAATGGTTGGTACCCTGGTGTTTCCTGTTGTGTACCATGGACAGAATCATTCTAGAAGGTAACTTTTCACACTTGATATGGATGGCTGCAGTAACTCCTGAAAAAGCATTTTTTCCTTCTGAAGTCCAGGAAAAAGGATTGAACATTATTTTAATTTTTAGTAAATTTGATGTTTATTTTATTATAACATCACAGAATCCCATGTTTTCAATATTTTAGCTTTATATAAAATGTCAGTATCTTATAGGAAAAATCTATCCTTATTATGCCTTTTCCTAGGAATTTCCCAAATATTCTTTCCAATTTATTATTCAAAATATACTCTGGGGCTGGGCATGATGGCTCATGCCTATAGTCCCAGCACTTTGGAAGGTCAAGGCAGGAGGATCACTTGATACCAGGAGTTCAAGACCAGCCTGGGCAATATAACAAGATCTTGTTTCTACAAAAAAATCAAACATTAGTTGGGCATGGTGGCATGCACCTATAGTCCCAGCTACTCAGGAGGCTGAGGTGGGAGGATCAGTTGAACCCAGGAGGTCAAGGCTGCAGTGAGCAGTCATGCCACTGCACTCCAGTCTGGGTGACAGAGTGAGACTGTCTCAAAAAGATAAATTATACACACACACACACACACACACACACATATATATATACACATATATATAGAGAGAGAGATACACACGTACATACATCATACATACATAGAAAGTATTTTGTTTGAAAAACATGCCTAGATTTTTAATGGCTTTATTGAGGTATAATTGATATACTAAAAACTGCACATATTTAATGTATATAATTTGATGAGTTTGAACATATGCATATGGCTGTGAAGCGATCACCACAATCAAGATAATAAGCATATCCACCACCTTCAAAACGTTTGTGTGTGTGCCACTTTGTTTTTGTAGTAAAAACAAAACATGAGATCTACACCGTTAACAAATGGTTAAGTGCCCAATACCTTATTAACTCTAATCCTTATGCTGTAGAGATCTCCGGAACTTACTCATCTTGTACAACTGAAACTTTATACCTATTGAACTATTCCCCATTTCCCTCCCTCACCCAGAAGTGAGATTGCTGGATCATGTGGTAATTCTATTTTTTTGTGTGTGGAAACTCCATACTGTTTTCCATAGAGGCTGCACAATTTTACATTCCCACCAATAATGTACAAGGGTTCCAGTTTCTCCAGATCTTTGCCAATACTTATTATCTTTTATTTTATAATAACCATCCTAAAAGGTATGAAATGATATCTCACCGCTGTTTTGATTTCCACTTCCCTGATGGTTAGCGATGTTCAGCATCTCTTCAGTTACTTGTTGGCCATTTGTATCTTTTCTTTGGAGGAGGTCAATTTAAGTCCTTTGCCTATTTAAAAATTCAGGCTTCGATTATTATTGGAATTGTATTCACTGAATAAGTAAATTTGGAAAAGTCCACTTTTTTATCAGTCCTTACCACACCATTTTACTCTATTAAAATTTTGTTTTGTGTCATTTAGCAAACTTTTCGCTTTGCTACCTTTTTAGAAATTCACTCCTGCATATGTTTTATATATTTGCTACTATTCAGAATAAGATTTTTATTAGATTTTCTAAATAGTTATTTCAGGCTTATAGAAAAGTTACTGATATCTGTGTGGTTTTCAATCTGGTCAAATATCTGAGCTGTCTTTCTATTTGATTAGCACTTTATTTCCTTGGAATTCCTAGCTCTACCACCTATAATTGTAAGAATTCTGCACTTTCCTTTCCCATAGGTATTTTAATTACTATGGTTTTTTACCTCAGTGCATTAATGAAAACTTCCAGAATAATGTAAAATAATGATAATAATTGTAGGTATCCTTACCTCGGTTATTGAACTCTCTGAGAGCATATCATTGTTACGAATTATATTAGCTTCAGCTTAAAATGGACATATTCTTAATGTCAAGGTATCTAATTTGCTAAAATTTTTTAAAGATGAGGATTATATATTGACTTTTAATAAATACCTTTTCAGAATGTGTTTGTAAGCTTTTTTGTTTCTCCCTTCTAATCAATTAATTTGATGCATTAATAGTTAAAAAATACTAAATCATTCTTGCATCCCTTAAATACAACTTAACTAATATCAGTTTTATTGGATATCAATGTAAGAATTAAAGAAAAAGGAGAGAAACACGAAGGGTGGCTTGCCAGTTAACAATCAGTAGAGGCACACATAATTTCTTTTTGTTTGTATTTCCCTGATATATATTTTCCCGGTTTTTTGTTTGTTTGTTTGTTTGTTTTTTGTCAGATGGAGTCTTGCTCTGTCACCTAGGCTGGAGTGCGGTGGCGCGATCTTGGCTCACTGCAGCCTCTGCCTCCCGGGTTCCAGTGATTCTCCTGCCTCAGCCTCCTGGGTAGCTGGGATTACAGGCACACGCCACCATGTCTGGCTCATTTTTGTATTTTTAGTACAGACGTGGTTTCACCATGTTGGCCAGGCTGGTCAGGAACTCCTGACCTCAGGTGATCCACCCACCTCAGCCTCCCAAAGTGCTGGGATTAGAGAGGTGAGCCACCACGCCCGGCCTCATTTTTCTATTGAAGTAATTTTGGTTATTTTGTTTTAACAATCTCTTACAAATGGAGCTTAGTTTAAAACCTAATATGAGCATTTTATATTAACAAATATATATTTAGTGCCATTACTGAGACAGTTAGTATTGTTGGTAACCTCATGGTTTATACACTTTTTTCAATTTTTAAAATTTATTTGTTATTTTTTACTGTGAGGTCAACTATCTTGTTACATAATTAAATTTTTTTTTTTTTGTTCTTTTTTTCCCCTGCACATTCAGCCTATCAGCCTATTGCATTTTCCTAGCATCCTTCTAAGCTTTCTGTCTTCTTTGAGTCCAATTTTGGTAAATAAAATTTTCCTTGAAAATTATCCATCTAAGTTTTCAAATTTATTGGCTTAGAAGTGTGAAAAAGTCATATTTGATAATATCTCTTGTTTTTTTATTTTCTTCTGATTTCAATGTTTATTTCACCCTTACCATCTCTTTATTTGTGTTTATGTATGTGTATTCTTTCTCCTTTTCTTCCCTTGACTAAGTTAGCTGGTGTTTTTTCTATGTACCAATTGTTTTCAAGAAACAGAATTTTAACAAGTTAATTGTATCTTAGATCTACTATCTTTCTATATATAGCTCATTAATTTCTACTTTTATCTTTACTGTTTCTTTCTCTGGTTTTTTAATTCTCTTTACTTTGCTGGGGAGAGGTTCTTAACTTTTCAGCTGAGAATTTACTTTATTTTCACTATTTTACTAATAAAAGTGTTTAGTTCTATGAATTTTTCTCTGATATCTACTCTAAAAGTGTTCTGTAAGTTCTGATATGTAATATTTTCATTATTATTATGTCTTAAGAATTCTATATTTCTCTTTGCCTTTGCCATTTCACTCAAGAGTTTAACAGATCGTTTCATTATGTGCAGGTTTAATATTGGCCCTTCAGTTCTTCCTCTTTTACGTACTTTGACAAGATGGGGTGGGGCAATTGGAATATTGCTCCCTCTACTCAAAGACTTGTGGCTAGAGCTTAAGTTGAATGTTCTGCTGAAATTCAGCCTATATTTTTCTACTAACAAGTAATTTGAAGTTGGGGAATTATTCTTCTTCTGGTTTGGTTAACATTGGGGGTTATGTGGGTTGCATTTATGTTTCTTATTGGTCTGTATAGGTTTCTGGAGGATGTGTGGAGAGATCCAAATTCAATAACAGTCATTTTCCTGGGCTACCTGGAGGTCTCCATCATTGTCTATAACCTGAAATTTTCATTCCTTCAGGCTAAAATTTTAATACTTGACATTTAATTGAATTGAACATCTTTCAGGTTTCTTGTTTCTCCCATCTTCTTTTCTTTCTCTGAGTAGCATACGTAATCTCCAATCTTAGAGCTATTATAGACTCAAATAACTCACAAATTATCTATTACAAGTTAAATCTACTGTAGGAATCTTTTCTACACCTGATCAAAAAAAATGTGAAAATGGCTATTCAGGCTCTGGTCTCTCATTTTCAAATTTTCAAGTAAACACAATCAATATTTAGAAAATTATATTTCAGTTTTTGTTTTGAATGATCTTTTAAAATAATAAATGAAAAAATATAACTCTTGGGAATGCATGCCCATTGGTCACATCTCACCCTATAGTATGAATACCTAGGTGCACTTGCTTGTGCATTTCAGAGACTATGCCTGATGGCACAGGATAAATATAAATGCCCTGCCCTGAAGATATGAAGAGAATGAAGAGAAAAGATTTCTTACATTATACCAACACAAACACATTATGGTATAGAATGAAACAATTCGGATAATATTTTAATGAAATATGACTTCTCAAAGAAATTTGACAAGTATCACTAAGAATACTTTGGGAAAAATCTAAAAATCACTTCTCATCTAAAGTAGCAGGAAAAAACATGCCTGCATAGTCTATATAAAACCGTGTATTTGGCTTCCAATGTTTTCATGTTCCCTATAAGTTTTCTGATTGTCACAATAAGTATTTTTATTTTCCCCAATTATTCTGTATATGACATAGATTTTGGTCTTAACTATCCCAGTCTTACTTTTTTATTTACTTTCCATTTTGCAATAAAATAAAAGTAATAGGGCAGCTATAATACTCCAGGTATTCCCAGATATTCTTGCATGATCTGAACTATGTATGCTTTTATGTGTGCATTGTAACACTTTATTAGGATTTTTTTAACTCTTGAATCCCATGTTTGGTTTTGATTGCAAACCAATTATTTTTATTTGGATAAAGCTACAAATCTCAGGTATTTCTGATAAGCATCTCTCTGTGTGTGTGCACATGCACATGTGTGTGTATGCATATGCAAGTATATCTACATATTTCTCTCTATATCTATACCTCTATACATTTGCTAAAAATATTTACATAGATAATTTCTTAAATATCAAATTTTATCTTTTTCTACTTAAATTTTACCTGGTCAATGTCAATTCCTCTTACCTATTAAAATAATTTTGAATCTTGAGCCCAAAAACCAAGGGTGCCAATGGGAGTAAAGATGAACATGATTAGGGGAAAAGTACTTGCATTTGCTTTTTTTAGTATCAGTTTTAATGCTATGCAAGGTACCTACAAAAAAAATTTCTTTAAACTAGCATGTTATGCCCCTAAAATGCAGGTAGATTTCCCACAGGTTAGAAAAAAAAACATGTTTTTTAAAGTATTGTTTTAATTTATTGAATTCAAAATATAATGAATGGGACATACCCAGACAGAAGCTCAGTGGCATTTAGCTAGAGGACTCTGTCCAGATTGACCTCAATCTCTATGGGAACACAATAGATGAAGCTGCCGAATTGCCCATGAAACCACCTTGTTTCATTACTATACATCTCACATTTCATCATCTGTTCCACAGGAATATTATAATATATTTGCACAATCTTTTTAGTTTTGGGTAGACTCCAATAGATGCCCATTAAGTAAAGACATGGTCTCTTAACACTACTTTGCTCCAAAAAAGAAAGGAAGGAAGGAAGGGAGGGAGGGGAAGGAAGGAAGGAAGGAAGGAAGGAAGGAAGGAAGGAAGGAAGGAAGGAAGGAAGGAAATAGTTGCAGCATAAAACCTAGGAAATAACTTGAAGTTGGGGTCTCCAAAGAGATAAATTGGTTTTAAATGGACACTGGGAGAAACAGGAGAATTTTTCTCTAGTCAACAACTATGAAAAATCTGGTCAAAAATCAATAACAACTTTTCTTCTTAAGACATAATAGTGCTTGAAACAAGGAATTCATTGAATTATGTTAAAAGGCTTACATATCACTGAGAAAAAAATAAAATTTTTTCTAAATCAAAATACTCATTCCAGTGCCAGGAATCTAACTATGACATATAGAAAGTCATGAAGCACAATTGCTTCTGCCACAGAAACCAGAAAAAAAAGCAAAAGTAGATAGTATAAATAGAAAAATGGTAGACTTAACTCAACATTTGCATTAAATGTAAATGAAATAAACAGTCTATAAAAAGCCAGAGTTTGTCAGACTAAATCACAAAAAAAGGCCCCCAAATGTATATGCTTTGTACAGGAAACACATTAGTAAGTATATATCACAGATATGAGACACATATACTGACAGTAAGACAATAAAAAATGTTATACCAAACAATTGGAAACCAAAAAGTATGGTTATATTATTATCAGGAAAAGACTTCAACACACAGAATATGTTAAAGTCAGGAGAACATAACAACCCATGATATGAATGCACCAAGTAACATAACTTCAAAGTATTTTGAACAGATGCTCAGAAACTAGCTTTCTGACACCTGATTTTCTGTTAGACAGTATAGAACATTACATGTAGGAGTCTCTCCCCAGCAAATTGTTATTGGTATTAACATATTTCTTAATACAAAATATTCTGGCAAGTGTGCCTCACCTATCTTTAATAATAATGATGATAATAATAATAATGGCAACAGCTGTTAATAGTATTTGGATGATTTCAATCTTCCAGGCACTGTGCCAAGAAGTTTATTGGTTTTCCATAACAATTTTTCCTATTTCAAAGATAAAGAAACTAATGATTATAAAGAGGTTAAAGGATTTTTAAATGTTCATATTACCAGCAATGACTAGGCTAAGATTTGAAGTTCTTAAGTGCTCGCATTAACATTTTAAATGGAATTACTCTGATGTGCCAATGAGCCTTCTCTTTCCAGTAACTACTTAAGTAATTCAGACACTTGATTTGCAGCAAGGAAGAAGAGGAAAAAAATGAAGAGAACTTTGAGAAAAAGTAGGCAAATCAAGAGAATGTTGTGAGATGTGACATAAAGTCCATGGGTTGCTAGGAATAAGGAGGAATTGGATCATGACGGTAGTACAAAGATAGGTGTCAATCACAAAAAATAAATTCACCTGCTTTGTAATTTTGCCTTGGGCCAGTGTTCCCAACCTTGTAATAGAAACCAATATTGGCACAGTAGTAGCACATCTGGCTGCTGCCTAAGACTTTCTTGGAGATACATGGAACATTTCATGATTTTTATCCTATCAACTTTTACTTTTAGTTTGGGGGCACAGGTGCATGTTTGTTATGTGAGTAAATTGTGTGTCTTGGGGGTTTGGTGTACAAATTATTTCATCACCCAGGTAATGAGCATAGTACCCAATAGGTAGTTTTTTTGATGCTCACCCTCTTACCACCTCTACCCTCAAGTAGGTGCCAGTGTCTATTGGTCTCTTCTTAGGGTCCCTGTGTATTAAAGGTTTAGCTCCCACTTATAAATGAGGACATGTGGTATTTGGTTTTCTGTTCCTGCATTAGTCCACTTAGGATAATGGCTTCCAGTTGCATCTATGTTGCTGCAAAGGACATGATCTTCTTTCTTTTCACAGCTGCATAGTAGTAATATCCCATGGCATATACGTACCACATTTCCTTTACCCAGTCCACTGTTGATGGGCACCTATGTTGATTCCATGTCTTTGCTATTGTGAATAGAGCTATGATAAACATACATATGCATATGTCTTTATGGTAGAATGATTTGTATTCCTTTGGGTATATACTCAGTACTGTTATTGCTGGATCGAATATTACTTCTGTTTCAAGTTCCTTCAGATCTCTCCAAACTGTTTTCCACAGTAGCTGAACTAATTTACATTCCTGCCAACAGTTTTTAAGTGTCCCCTTTTCTCCACAACCTCACCAGAACATTCCCACCAACAGTATGTAAGTGTTTCCTTTTCTCCACAACCTCACCAGCACATTCCCACCAACAGTATGTAAGTGTTTCCTTTTCTCCACAACCTCACCAGCATCCGTTATTTTTTGACTTTTTAATAATAGCCATTCTGACTGTCGTGAGACAGTATCTCATTATGGTTTTGATTTGCATTTCCCTGAAGATTAGTGATGTTGAATATTTTTTCATATGCTTGTTGGCCACATGTATGTCTTCTTTTGAGAAGTGTCTGTTCATGGACTTTGCCCATTTTTAATGTGGTTATTTGCTTGTTGATTTCTTTAAGGTCCTTACAGATTTTGGATATAAGACCTTTGTTAAATGCATAGTTTGCAAATACTTTCTCCCATTCTGTAGGTTCCCTGTTTACTCTGTTGGTAGTTTCTTTTGCTGTGCAGAAGCTCTTTAGTTTAATTAGGTCCCACTTGTCTATTTCGGTTTTTGTTGCAATTGTTTTTAGAGTCCTTATCATAAAATCCTTGCCAGGGCCTATGTCCAAATGATATTTCTTAGATTTTCTTCTAGGACTTTTATAGTTTTAGGTTTTACATTTGAGTCTCTAATACAGCTTGAACTGATTTTTGTATATGATGAAAGGAAGGAGTCCACTTTCAATCTTCTGCATATGACTAGCCTGTTATCCCAGACCATTTAATAAACAGGGATTCCTTTCCTCATTATTTTTTATTGTCAACTTTATCAAAAATCAGATGGTTGTAAGTGTGCAGCTTTATCTCTGGGATTTCTAACCTGTTTCATTGGTTTGTGTACATGTTTTTGCACTCATACCATGCTGTTGTGGTTACTCTGGACTTAAAGCCAGGTAGTGTGATGCCTCTAGCTTTGTTCTTTTTGCTTAGGATTGCCTTGGCTATTCAGGCTTTTTTTAAATTCCATATGAATTTTACAATAATTTTTTCTAATTCTATGAAAAATGTTCTTAGTAGTTCGATGGAAATGACTTTGAATCTGTAAATTGTTTTGAGCAATGTGTCCACTTTAACAATATTGATTCTTCCTGTCTAGGAGCATAGAATGTTTTGCCATTTATTTGTGTCATCTCTGAATTCTTTCAGCAGTGTTTTGTAATTCTCATCGTAGAGATCACTTGCTTCCCTGGTTAGCTGTATTCCTAGATATTTTGTTCTCTTTGTGGCTATTATGAATGGGATCATAGTATTGTTTTGGCTCTCAGCTTGTTATTATTGGTGTATAGAAATGCTACTGATTTTTATACATTGATTTTGTATCCTGAAACTTTGCTGAAGTTGCTTAACAGAACTAGGAGCCTTTGGACAGACACTATGGTGTTTTCTAGGTATAGAATCATATCATCTACAAAGAAAAAATAGTTTGACTTACTCTCTCCTGTTTGGATGCCATTTATTTCTTTCACTGGCCTAATTGCTCTAGCTAGGACTTTCAGTACTATGTTGAAAGCAGCGGTGAGAGAGGGTGTCCTTGTCTTACTCCAGTTCTCAAGGGGAATGGTTCCAGCTTTTTCCCATTCAGTATGATGTTGGCTGGGGGTTTGTCATAGATAATTCTTATGACTTTGAGATATGTTCCTTTGATGCCTAGTTTGTTGAGGGTTTTTAACATAAAGAGATGTGGAATTTTATCAAAAGCCTTTTGTGTGTCTATTGAGATCATCATTGGTTTATGTTTGTAGTTCTGTTTATGTGATGAAATCACATTTATTGATTTACATATGTTGAATCAACCTTGTATTCCAGGAGTAAACCCTACTTGATTGTGGTGGATTAGCTTTGTGATATGCTGCTGGATTTGATCTGCTAATATTTTGTTGAAGATTTTTAAATCTATGTTCTTTAAGGATATTGGCCTGAAATATATATATATATATTTTTTTGAGACGGAGTTTCACTCTCATTGCCCAGGCTGGAGTTCATTGGCGCAATCTTGGCTCACCACAACCTCCACCTCCCTGGTTCAAGCGATTCTCCTGCCTCAACCTCTCGAGTAGCTGGGATTACAGGCATGTGCCACCATGCCCAGCTAATTTTGTATTTTTAGTAGAGATGGAGTTTCTCCATGTTGGTCAGGCTAGTCTCGAAATCCTGACCTCAGGTGATCTGCCCACCTTGGCCTCCCAAACTGCTAAGATTACAGGCCTGAATTTTTGTTTATTGTGTCCATGTCAGGGTTTGGTATCAGAATGATGCTGCCCTCATAGGATGAGTTAGAAAAGAGTCCCTACTTCTCAATTAGTTTCAGTAGGATTGGCCTAATTCTACTTTATATGTCTGGTAGAATTTGGCTATAAATACATCTGGGGATTTGGGCTATAAATACATCTGGCCCAGGGATTTTTCTGGTTGATCGGTTTTTTATTACTGATTCAATTTAGGAACTTGTTATTGGTCTTTTCAGAGTTTCAGTTTCTTCCTGGTTCAATCTTAGATGGTTGTACATTTCCAGGAATTTATCCATTTCTTCTAGGTTTTCTGGTTTGTGTGCATAGAGGTGTTGATAATAGTCTCTGGGTTTGGGTTTTTTTTTTTATTTCTGTAGGATTGGTAGTAATATTCCCTTTGTCATTTCTGATTGTGTTTATTTGGATCTTCTCTCTTTTTTCTGTATTAGTCTAGCCAGTGGTCGATCAATCTCGTATATTCTTTCAAAAAGCCAACTTCTGGTTTTGTTAGTCTTTTGTATTGTCATTCATGTTTCAATTTTGTGCAGTTCAGGTCTGATTTTGGTTTTGTTTTGTTTTTTTTTGTTGTTGTTGTTGTTTGTTTTTTTTTGCCTAGCTTTGGAATTGGTTTGTTCTTGTTTATTTTAGTTCCTCTAGGTGTGATGTTTGGTTATTAATTTGAGATATTTCTAATTTTTTGATGTGGGCATTTAGCATTATACCCTTTCTTCTTAATGCTGCTTCAGCTGTGTCACAGAGATTCTGGTAAGTTGTATCTTTGTTCTCATTAGTTTCAAAGAATTTCTTGATTTCTGCCTTAATTTCATTATTTACCCAGAAGTCATTCAGGGGCAGGTTGTATACTTTCCATGTAATTGTATGGTTTTGAGAGATCTTCTTAGTCTTGATTTCTATTTTTTTGCTCTGTGGTCCAAGATTATGGCTGGTGTAATTTCAGATTTTTTTAATTTGTTGAGAATTGCTTTATGGCTGAGCATGTCATCAATTTTAGAGGATGTACCATGTGCAAATGAGAAGAATGTACATTCTGTCGTTATTACGTGGAGCATTTTGTAGATGTTTGTTAGTTCTGTTTGTTCTAGTGTCAAGTATAGGTCCTGAATATCTTTATTAGATCTCTGCCCCAATGATCTGTCAAACACTGTCACTGGAGTGTTGAATTCTGCTACTATTATTGTGTGGTTATCTAAGTCTCTTTGTACATCTCTAAGAACTTGTTTTATAAATCTGGGTGCTCCAGTTTTGGGTGAATTCATATTTAGGATAGTTTTGCCTTCTTGTTGAATTGAACCCTTTATCATTATGTAATGCCCTTCTTTGTCTTTTTTATCTTTGTTTGTTTACGGTCTGTTTTGGCTGAAATAAGAATAGTGATCCTGTCTCTTTTTTGTTTTCTGTTTGCTTGACAGATTTTTCTCCATCCCTGTACTTTGAGCCTATAGGTGTCATTGCATGTGAGATAGGAATGAAGATAGCACACAATTTGGTCTTGCTTCTTTATCCATCCTGCCACTCTGTGCCATTTCAGTGGGGCATTTAGCCTGTTTACATTCAAGATTAATATTTATATGTGTAGATTTTATCCTGTCATCATGTTGTTAAATGGTTGTTATCTAGACTTGATTGCATAGTTACTTTAGAGTATCAATGGTCTATGTATTTCATTGTGTTTTTGTGGTGGCCAATAATGGTGATAAAAGAAAAGCTTCAGCCAAATTAAATTTAAAGGAGTTAGATTGAACAATGAATGATTTGCAAATCAGGCAGCTTTTCCAGTCAGAGTAGGCTTGGAGACTCCAGTGCAGACAAGGGGTGGAAGAAGATTTATGGACAGAAAAAGGAAAGTGATGTACAGAAAATGGAAGTGAGGTACAGACACAATTGGATTGATTACAGTTTGGTGTTTGCCTTATTTGGACACAGTTCAAACAGTTAGCTACATTTGATTGGCCAAAACTCAGTGATTGGCACAAGTGTAGGCTACTGTCTGTTCAGACCTCCACTAGTTATAGTTCACGATGTACAGAGAAATCTTTAGGCCAAACGTAAAATATCTAAGGAGGCAGCTTTAAGCTAAACTTGATTTAACAATTGGCCCCTTTGGCCATCTTCTCAACTTTGAGAGATTGACCAAAACTTTAGTCATTGGTGTTACTATCACCATTGTAAATGTATCTATTTGGTTTTAAAACCCATGGGGAAACAGTAGAACAGTGGGTTTTGCAAGGCTGGAACAAGGATTGAGTAGAGGGTACTTCCTTATGCTGGAATGTCCTGTTTGTTTTTCCTAGAGAAAAACAAAACCTGGTCTGTTCTAGAATCTATGTGATTCCTTAAAGTCTTACTTTGATCATGTCACATTTGGCACGAGCGACTCCATTTTGTTTCGGTCTGGTCTGTTGGGGCCTAGTGCATGAGTTCAGTCCAAAACAATAGCCTCTCAAAATTTTGTTTTAAAAAAATCCCTATTTTTTTGGTCATGCTCTCACTTAAGTGAGAGCTCACTTAAGTGAGAGCGTGACCAAAACTTGGGGCCTCAGTGCCACTCTCAGTTACCATCATTTTGGGTTTCTGGTCTCAGCATGTCATTCATAAATTACAGTGTCTTCATGGTTGCATATTTATTTCAGCTTTAGTCATTCCAGTTGAAGAAAAACCATTTGACATTCTAGCGATGGCTGTATGCAAACATTCAAAACTTCTGAGAGAATACAATGCACCAGGGAGACTACTGTTATGACTACTGGGAGGATAATACCAAGAGCTTGAAGTATGCTTCTTACCCAGGGTTCCTATAACCAAACCACCTAAAATCAATAGATCAAAGAACGAGCTAGATAAAGGGTCTACTCACTTAACTAAGCAGTCTCTTGGCTAATCTCCTACAAATGAATCTCTATACTATCCAATGTTTTCTCCACAGGCCACAAGTGCCAGCAGCTGCACAGATACTTCTATTTAGTAGTAAGTAATCTAAAGCAATTTTATTATTTAGCATAACTCTCACAAGAGAATTTAAAGTGTGTTGTGTAACCATGGCCTTTACAGTAGAATCTGCTATAGAGTCTGTCATGACGGATACATTTTTAATCATTGCCTCTTTAATTCCATACCATAGAAAAAGGACCTAACAAATGAGGCCCTTCTAGAAGAATGAAGACCTTCTGGCAGCATTCTCTTTAACCCATGATGGAGGCTAAGAGGAGTGAACCAGTGTTCTGTTCCTGGCAACTATGAGGCAATGTATGTACCATTGAAGTTTCTCACCTACACTGGGCTTTCGTCTTTTATTTATCAAGGTATAAAGTTACATATGTATAAGGCTGGCTGTAAAACCCTTCACAGATAAAAGTATACTCTATAAGTGCAAACAACAGACCCTCTTTTCACTTCTATTGTTCATAGAGGAATAAGAAAGGGTAAAATATTCAAAGATAAGAGTCTCATGATAGTAGAGAAGTCTTGATCCATGACCTTGGGAAAAGCTGTTCACATCAGGGATGCCATCTTTTCTGGGGAGAAATTTATGTGGTTAGTTTTACCTTAAGGGTTCCAATGGGTGTACAGTTCCAAGAATGTGGAGGGACCCTCTTCAGTTGTGAGATTATGAACCCAAAGTTCAAGGTCCCAAAGTTTTGTTGCAGTGTGGATGGCAAGAGCAGTCTTTCTCTGATGTTCTCAGAAGATCCAATCGTCGGGTTCTAGACTGTGAAGGAGCTGATTGTCCTCAGTCAGTGAACCATAAAAAGCATTCTTTACCTGGTGAAAATAGTCTATGGCATAATAATCTACTGTTATAACATCAGCCCTCTTGCATGGGAAAGCTTTTTTACAAGCAGAAAACATGTATTGAAAATGACAATTGAATGAAATCCCTCTATAAATTTTTAAATGGCCCATCAGGTAGCCAAATGTACTGAAGCTTTGATTGTCTTTCCAGGAATATGGGTTTAACCAACTAAACATTGGTCATAAACTATTTTAGCAATTTAGAAGTCACCGAACCAATATATATTTAATTTGGATCATTTTATCTATTCCATGATGAGTCATGGAATGCAGAACCTTTAATAATAAAAGCTTTAAGGACTCAGAAAGGGCAAGGCAGCCATTCTGGTTCTCCATGAGTCTATGCTTAACATTGGATCTAAGTTCTCTTGAATACCGGTCATTTCTCCAATTTAGGTGCATAGTACTGATAACTGATAGGTTATCATAGGTAATTTGACTTAGACCATGGAGTTCATTCAAATTGTATATCTAAACAATTTCAGTATCAGCTGACTTAGCATAAAAATCTAGCTAAGTATTTTCTTGGTATTCAATTAATTTTTGTTCTATTTGGGTTAGCAGTTTTATAAACCAGTCAGTCTTTTCATTAGAGACTGGAATTCTTACACAGTCCAAACGATGATTTTAAAGTTACCAGAAACCTGTATTCAAGAGTGCTTTGAATACAGGTTTCCTTTCCTTCCTTTCATGAACCTCTTAGGAGATACCATATTCTAGGATTTTACATGCTTGTGAAGTTTGCAGAAACTGCATCAGCATTAAACATCTAACTGTGGAAATGACTTTAAACAGTCATAGTTAAAAACCCAATTGACAAAAAATATGGTCATTTCTGTGGTCTACAATAACTTAACATAATAATCATAATTATGATTGATAGCATATGCTCAGACATGTTAGAATTTTAGAAATCCCATATAATTTTGGAACATATATTAATATCATTCACTAAAACATAACCTGAAGAACATTAAACATTATTTTTTATTTTGGCAATGCTTCCCGTGTAATTTAACATGTCAAATAATACTGTTGACCTCTCTTTTGAATGCTTCGGGACCCTTTGCAGCATCTCAAGGTTAGAGGTTAGAAAAGACAATTTTGAAGGTGAAATTTGATTTTTGAAAGCCTATTAAATACGTTAAAGGTTTAAAACACTTGATATTATGAAATAGAATTCCAGGTCACCATTCATTTAGCCAAAGTGATGACTCAAAAATTTTAAAAAGGCAAAAACCTTTACTCATTGATAGAAGGAAGACTTAGCTTTCCAAACAATACGTCTCTTGTCTTTTCCTTCTTATTTTTGGTAGTTTATTTAAAAGGGAAACAAAATTTTTTTATTATCACTTAATATTACATGAAAATCTTATTCAAGAGAGAAAGTCAAATTTCACCCTTGCATTAGGGTACTATTAATGTCAATCTCAATTTTTAATAAAACCTTATAGATAAATCTATTCAGCCTTCATCATCAAAAGGTGAGATTCTCATAAACCTTTTATAACCCTTTACAAATTCTTGTTAAAAAGCAAGTCAGTGCCCTAAGAAAACCCTGTTGTGTTTTTGTTCCAATGTTCAATTTATGGAAAATACTGAATAATACTCCTTTAATGTTAGCCAATGTGTTTACACACAGAATTTCTTTTACGAGATCGATTTTCACAAACCTTCCATAACTAGCTCAAACCTTCAGCTTTATCCCAACTAAAAGCAATCCTTTAACCCTTTAATCTAGGTCAAAAAAAATCCACATTAACATACCTTCATATACGCTTTCACCAAAAACACATTTCACTTCCCTTACACACCTTGCATGTAAAACTGTTTCTTCAGTAGTCTCAATTACATGCTACATTATTAACTCTTAGCAATTTTGAAAAAATGGTTAGTAAGCAATTTTAATTATGTACTAGGTTTGGAGCCTAGAACACCAGACAGAAGTGCAGGTAAGGTCTGACTTTTTCCAGCATAGCTAGGGGTATGGCTAACGGCTAACTCCATATGTCCCCAGGTCTTACCTAGCTGTAAAGCAGACAAGCTGAAAAATTTTCAAAAGCCAAAGAAGCGGTTTATGACATTAAAGCATTGAGTAAACCTAATATCTGACCTGTGTAATTTAGACCAAATGTCTTTATTTTACCAATAATCTTTAAAATTGTTTTTATTTTCCAAAGATTACTAAAGTCACATGAACTAAAAGGCATTACACTTTTTACTTTTCTGACAATATATGATTTAAACACCTATTATTTTTAAGCCAACTAATCAGAGCTTTTTTACATATAAACATCACACACACAGCACATACATATAAATACACAGACAGACAGAAGATCCAGTAGTTGTAAGATTTTTAGTTTACCAGTTTCTTAATTGGATTACTGGCTTTAGGGTGGTGCCCTTGGAGGAACAGAATCAGGAAATCATGCAGTTTCCACAGCCTAATAAGTGGGCACAGCTGGAAGACAAAAACAGATCTCCAAAAGTAAGGGTCCCACTTTTATATCACATCCTGGATCCCCAAAAAGAGGGAAATGCTATGGGAGAAGACAATGCAATGCTTTTATCATGCATTTTATTACAAAGCAACCCAAAGCCAATCAGCCGATTCTGTGATCAACCCATCCCCCATGGGAGTCTTATCTCAGTGGGGGTAGGGACATTTCCATACTTTCTAGGTGGCCAAGAGCATGCTTCTGTGATTCAAAGGTGCAAAGAGTTGAGTATTCCCCCCAACTGCCATTAGCTATCCCCAAAAGTATATATTATACACCAAAGCTTTCTCATAATGCAAAGATACCCCCAAAAGTCAAAAATTGTCAGATAACGCAATGTAAAACAAAACAGAGCTTTAAATTTTGAGAGGGATCTATCCGCTTTTAACCATAGTACTCTAAAAGTCCTTTTAAATCCTCTTATTACCTGACTTTAGCCAGGCCAAATGGCCAATATTTCTGGCTTTTGAATTTTACCAAAGGTAACCTTCTAGGTGCTGAGAGAGAGGAAAATTCAAGACGGTTCATGGAGGGGAAGAGATTCAACAAATGGTAAAAGTCATGCAGACATCACCAAAAAAGACTCATTCCCTAAGCCAAGACTGAACCCGGGCTACCACTGTGAAAAGGCAAAGCCTTAGCTACTAAAGTACAAAACTGGGTAGTTTCCATTGCTCTTCCCAGAAGGAGCCTAGAGTAGAGCAGTTAATTTTGAGCTCACAAAAGCTTTTTTTTTTTTTTTTTTGAGATGGAGTCTCGCTCTGTCGCCCAGGCTGGGGTGCAGTGGAGCAATCTTGGCTCACTGCAACCTCCACCTCCTGGGTTCAGTGGTTCTTTCCTGCCTCAGCCACTAGAGCAGCTGGGATTACAGGCATGTGCCACCATGCCCAATACTAAGTTTTGTATTTTTAGTAGAGATGGGGTTTCACCATATTAGCCAGGCTGGTCTTGAACTCCTGACCTCAAGTGATGTGCCAGCCTCGGCCTCCTAAAGTGCTGGGATTACAGATGTGAGCCACAGTACCAGGCCTCTTTCTTTTTAATAAAGGCAAGATCTTGCTCTGTTACACAGGCTGGAGTACAGTGGTGTGGTCACAAAGGCTTTTACTGTTCAATAATTTTTAGGGCTATGACATGAATCCCCCAATTCCTGTTCCTTACATGGCAGAGACCAAGAGAAAGTATTGCCACATGGTTATGAGGTCAAATTCCCAAGGACATAAAACAAGATGGAAACCTCATCCAGTTTTTTGTTTGTTTCAGGTAACTGCAACAAAGTTTGTTACTGACCAGCTTGCTGGGCCATCTTGAATAGTGAGCTTATGGGGTCCTAAGCCCATGTTCTATCCTAACATACTCCTCTTTATGACAAAACCATACAGAAGACACACAAAGCACATCGCATTTGCTACAGCTTAGGTCTAGCCTCAGAAGCCTTTTTTCATATTAATTAGAACTTTACAGAAGAGATAAACAGTGATTTTTACCATTCATCCAACCATTTTGCACAGAAAGAGAGAGGTGAGAAGTCTGACTGGTAAGAAATTCTTACCCTTTTGCCAGCATGCCAGGCTTCTGGATTCCCTTTCTCTGAGCAGCCCTACTGAGCCTGTTCACCACACTATAGCCGTGGAGGTCAAGCTGCAAGACAAAAGAAAATCTTTGTTGTTTGTTTGTTTCATGGAACCACAGGCAACAGTCTCTCAGTTTTGTAAGATGCTGTCCAAGGGGTTGCATGGGGTAAGCAAATTACCATTTTCCATTCCAGCCAGAGCAAAATATGTGTGACAAAACATGGACATTAGCCACTCTGCTTAGTGCCCAATATCAAACTGGCCAGACTCAAACTTGCCCCCAGATGGGTCCTGTCATCTTTAATCCATTCAAAGTGGATAAAGGAGTTTCAACATGTGGACTCTGGGCAAGATGGTTGCCCTGGGTAACAGAAAAGATAAGAAAAGGAAAAGAGAGAAAGGGAAAAAGGCATTGCCTGTGGCAGGGTGGGGAAGGTAAGAAACTCAGGGTGGCCAGAGAAAGACCCACTCATTGCAGTGATACTGAATCAAAACTCCAGGCAGCCACTTGTCACTTGTCAGTCATGCAGGGATCTTTTCCACCAGTCCTACCAGCTCTTAAGCTTCCCCTTTAGGGAAAAAAAAGGTTCCCTATGTCCCATGATCCTGTACATGCCTAATCCTATCAAGATGGCAAGGCAGATTAATTCAAAGAGAATAGTGGTTAACATCCCATAGTGCCAAATCCATTTTTAACCAAAAGGGACTTTACCTAGGGGCAGGCCAGTAACCCAATCCCATCCTTTACCCAGGTAAAATGTACCATATTACTTACCCAAAGTTAGCCAATTGCTGCTGCAGTCTACTTCCTTTAGATGTAACTAAGCTAAAAGGTTAGCAGATTTAATTTTTGTAATCAATTCGTCGCTTAAGCTTTATACTTGCCTTTCGTAAAGTCTTTAAATAAAAATACTGAAATACTTTTAGAAGCTTCTGCATATCAATAGGCATCCCTAGATGAAACTAATCTGGGAGCCCTCATTTTCAAATGCACTTCAGTGTTTTGTTGTTCATTTGGAACATTCCACTATAAGTTATCCTTAGTAAGATTTTACCATTTCTGTAAGACTTCACTGCTTCTGGGGCCTAACACACATGTATAAGCCAGAAGGAACTCAGCTCTTCAGAAATTAAGAATCCCATTTTTACTTAAGATAATGGCTTTGCTCTCAAGTTCCCTTGATTAACTTAGCCAATGATTTTTTTTCCTACCTAAGCATGCAAGAAAAATGAAACAAAGGAGTAGAACACAAAATCCCTGTGAATTTCCAAAAGCCAAATTTTATATCCCCTGCAATATTACCATTTACTACCAGCTTCTTCCTGACCCAGTCAGATGTAAGCAGCCTCTAACTGGATCCAAGCCAGTTAACTGCCAGATTAAATCCAATCCTGGATCCAGTTTAGTTTCTACTGTGACTTCCAAACCCAGTTTGGATCAGAAATTTGCTCAAAGAAACTTGGAGAGCTCAAAACACAAACCTGTGGAGCTCCAAAATCTGAAAGAGAACTTACCATGATCCCCAGCTGCTCCAAGAGATCACTGAACACAAAAGGGTCCTGCAGGTACCTCACTTGGTCACTCAGCACTCCTAGAGGTCATTAGAAGCTCTACTTCAGATCCCACTTCTGACGCCACCTGAAAAAAAAAAAAAAAAACTTCAGCCAAATTAAATTTAAAGGAGTTTAATTGAGCAATGAACAATTCACGAATCAAGCAGCTTTCCCAGCCAGCACAGGCTTGGAGACTCCAGTGCAGTCACGTGGTGGAAGATTTATGGACAGAAAAAGGAAAGTGACATACAGGAAATGGAAGTCAGGTACAGAAACAACTGGATTGGTTACAGCTCCTCGTTTGCTTATGTGAACATGGTTTGAACAGTGGGCTACATTTGATTGGCCAAAACTCGGTGATTGGCACAAGTGTAGGCTAGCCTGTTTATACCTCTGCTTGTTATAGTTCAGTATGTACAGAGAAACTCTTAGCCCAAAATTAAAGTATGTAAGGAGGCAGCTTTAGGCTAAACTTGACTTAACAATGGTCTTTTCTTTCCATGTTTAGCATTCCATTAAGGACCTCTGGTGAGGCAGGTCTGGTGATAATGAATTCCCTTAACATTTGCTTATCTAAAAAGAATTTTAGACACGAAACAAGAAGTATTTCAAAAAGTATACCAAGCTTCTCTACAAAGAAAGCTATTGAAAGTTGTGCATCAACAAAATGAGAGAGTAAATCAATAAAGAGGAAGATTGGGCCCGGGTAAGAGCATATTCAATATGGGAGAAAGGATAAGATAATCTCCTGAATGAAGGCAAAAGGAAGTCCCAGGACAGCAGTTGTGCAGGATGCCTGAAAGAAAGCTGTCCAGGTTGAAGCAAGTGAGAAAGAAAGCAAAAGAGGAAAAATAAGGATCTAACCATTCACCTGGTAGTTGTATTGAAGTCATTGGGAATAAGAGGAGAATTAGAATCAGTGTCATATGAACTAAGCAAACAAAAAATTTGAGACAATTTTTAACAGCAGGAAAACAAATGTTTTAGAAGACAAAATCCTCAGACATAGGTTTTAATATGTGACTTGGAGTAAGTTATATTTCATGAAATATTATGCTATTTTATAATCATAAAATGTAAACTTAACAATATTATTAATAAAAAAATTTGAAATATAATTACATTGGAAAGGAAGGGCAGCAAATAGGGTGAGGGACAGAGGAGAGAGAAAGACCAAATTCTCAAGTACTGTAGAAAGAAGTGGATAAAATACCTCTAAAAATGGTGACCCAAGCAATAGTAGTACAAGAATATCATTTATAATAAAGTTTCAATTATTTTGATATAAACAAAATATAAAGAAAATTGATATAAATATATATCAAAATATAAACAAAATATAAGCAAAATTGATATAAGCATATATCAAAATATAAGCAAAATTGATATAAACAAAATAATTGAAACTATTTTTCTTTTAGAAGTGAGACTGGTGGAGAAAGATACCAGTGTTCTTAATTATAAGCCTTTAATGACATGTGCCTTTAACAATATGTGTATATTACTTTGATTTTAAGGATCTTTAAAAACAAATACAACAGGGTTACATAGATCTGTTTCTCTCATAGGATGTTCCTAATGTGCAACTGAATGAAAAAGCCATGATGCATTAATGCTTGTGGTAAATTTCTTATTTTTCACAAACTCAAAAAGAAACAAATACACTTTACATGTGTGTAGGAGTATGACTATAGATAACACTGAAGAATACAGAAATGTTGATCCTGATTCATATGGGGGGAGTAGAATTGGAGTGGGGGAGAAGGAATATGGTTAATTTCCACCCAAACCTTTAACCATTGACTTTTTCATTGTTAAAGTTTAAAACTCAATCTGCCTCCTGAACCAAAATTATTTTTCTTTTGCCATAAAGGACATTAGTGGGACAATTGATGAAATTGAATAAGCTCTGTATGTTAGATAATATTACTACATCAAGCTTAATTTCCTGATTTTGATCATTATACTATTGTTATTTGAGAGAATGCCTTTATTTTAGGAAATATGCACTGAAATGTTTAGTGATAAAAAGAGCTTTATGTCTGCAACTTACTCTTAATGAGTTCAGAAAAAATCACACACACACAGATAGAGAGAGAGAGAGAGAGACAGAGACAGAGAGAGACAGAAAGAAATAAAGCAAATATGGAAAAATATTATAACATTGGTATCCCTCCTGAATGGCGGGTTTAAGGAAATTCTTTGCACTATATTTCCAAGCTTTATCTGCATCTAAAGTTATTACAAAATTAAAAGTAATAATAATAATCATGTACAAAAATGCTCTCAAGTTACTCCCAGGAATATATCCTTGAGATTGGGACAAAAATACTGCCTTTTTATCATAGTGTTATTAGCAAGTTCCCACCATCAGATATTCATTAAAGAAATCATCTTGGAGCCAAGAGATATTCCATCTGAGTTCTTCCTAAGACAGAAGAAAGTTAAAATGACAAACATGACTCACCACCCTGAGGTGGTTTTAAGAAAATGGACCGTAATCGTTTTAGAAAGAATTATTTGAAAAGGGAAGTATTTTTTGCTCTGCCTCTCATATTGCATCTATATCAGACAAGTTGATCTTATTAAAGATAATTGAAATGGGATTTTAAGGCATACTTTTAAAGTACTTCAAGAACCCTAAATAAATTGAAATGAAGCCAGTTCCCTCAGATACATGCTTGAAGTAATTGTTTTGTTAAGTTTTATCGAAGGCATTTCTGAACTAGGTCAGAGTTTAGTGCAGGTTAACTTTTTCTAATTTTTTGCTTTTCTTCAAGGACAACCAGTGATAACTGTGCTAAATTCAATGGTGGACAAACAGCACTAGAGTAAGCCGTATTTGATCACTCATCAAATCTACCCACTAACAGCAATCTTTATATAAAAACTTCAGACAGTCACCTATACTCATATATTCTCTCTGCTTTAAGTATTGTTGCTTAAAGAAGAGAAGTTGTTGCTTACTTATATATGCAATAAATATGATATATGGGAAGTGTAACTCCTTGGCTGGGTAATTTAGGTAAATTCACTTGTTTCTCTGAATATCTCTTTTCCTCATCTTTAAAAAGAAGAACATTAGGCTACATGACTTCAAGCTCCTTTTTAATTTTGATAATACTTGTTTTAGTAGAGTTCTTCAGAGAAACAGAATCAACAAGATGTATATGTGTATATATGTGTACACATATATGTGTATGGAGAGAGGGGGTATTTTTAAAACTGGATCACACGACTGTGGAGATGCAAGTCTAAAATCTGCAGGGTGGGCCAGTAGGCTGGAGACCCAGAGACGTACTCAGTCCAAGTCCAAAGACAGTCTGCTGGCAGAACTCCCTCTTCTTCCAGGGAGGTAAATATTTTTCTAATGAGGCCTTCAATTTGATTGGATGAGACTTACCCACATTTTGAGGGCAATCTGCTTCACTCAAAGTCTACTAATTTAAATGTTAATTCCATCCAAAAAAGCACCTTCACGGTAAGTTCCAGGATAATGTTTAACCAAATATCTAGGCACTGTGGCCTAGCTAAGTTAACACAAAATTAATCATCTCAATATTTTATATTATAGTGATAATTTCTTAAAATCAAAAACAGTGTGAGAGGCATTGTTACACTTTTTCTACAGAAAAGCCTAAGAAACTCCACCACGAGTCCCGGGAAAACTGTTATTTTTAAACAACTGAGGTTCTTCTCTATGAATGTTTGAGCCATCATGACATGGAGTGAAATCAGATCTTAAACAGCAATTTCAGCTACCAATAGGACATCTTATGCAATGTCAGTATACAGTGACTTCAAGGAATGATACTGAATCCTACTATTGACTCTGTCTCAGACATACAAATGATGGTTCTGGCCTGAGCCTCAGAATGAAGATCCAGAAAGGATGCAGAGGCCCATTGTCTGTGTCTTTTCCTTAAAAAATTGTATCAACTTCCTTAGTAGGGATTCCAACTTATCATGTCAGTATTGTGATATCATATTTGGCATGAGAATAACTCACAGCAGTACTCCCATCACATTTTAAGGAATTATTTATCTCCGCAATAAAAATGCATTAACTAGTAATAATGTTATCACTTATTTAAAAATAAACAGATAGTTTTGAGAAGTAAAAGTGTACCAGCAGCATTATATTCATACTACTAAAGTATAAATCTCTTTTATTTGTGTTTTGACTATTTTTCTTCCAAGGATTCTAATATTTTGGGATGTGGAACCAACTATAAAAAAAGCAACAATAAGGCCTTCACTAGCATTCCCTCATTATCACAAAATAACTATGAACAAACCCCATTTCAATTACCATGGTGCCCAACTAGAAAATCTAAGTGAAATATAAGGAAGCAATTTGAGAATATAATACACCCTGGTCTGTATATTTCTTAGTTTTTCACTCACACATGAACCTGAGGACTTCAGCCATAAAGGCAAGAAAGAAGTCATGTGGTGGGCTAGTTCCAGAATTCTCAGCAAGATTAACTTGCATGTAGTTAAAATGAGTGACCAGAAGATTTCTTTGCCTGTACATCCTCAGATAGGTTTGAATGAAGACAATGGAGGTTAGGCTTGAGCTGTACCCCAAGGGTTATTAGCAGGAATGACTCTATTTGCTGAACATGGAGTTTCAACAACAGTTTGAGGAACGAAAACCATGGTGGGTTTTATGAATAAATGTCCTCCAACCCTCCACAGTAGTCTACAAATCTCCCCTCCCCAGACAGGGTAAAAACAAGGCCCTTTTCTAAGCTTGCAGTTCCTCGTTGAGTGTTATGATAAATCCCTTGGTACCTCCCCGAAGTCCAGCAGTTCTGTAATCTGGCCCTTTCCAGGGACTTTGCTGGAGGAAGCACAACTTAGATGCTTCAAACTATTTTTTTTGCTAGGCCTCAGCCCTCCACAAGCCAGACCTGATAATGAGGGAATGCTAGTGAAGGCCTTATTGTTGCTTTTTTTATAGTTGGTTCCACATCCCAGTTGAACAAATTGTCAAGTTCACCAAGATGACATCTATGTTCTCACACATTAAGAAAGGCTGTTTGCCTTCAGTTTCAAGGGCAAAAGAGGTCATTGTGGTAAATAATAAAAGGGGATTATTTTGAAAGCATAAACAAGTTCTTCAATTTGACAAAAATATACAATGATCCAGTCCAATTATAAGCAAACTCGGAGGAGAATGGGAAGAAAGTTGATGCCACCCCATTCTTTTCATGGGGTGTTAATTGGAAGAAAACAGAGAAAGTCATTACCTCCATGCTCATGGAATGAAAAGGAGAGTGTCAAATGAATGTCTGGTCAAAGGCCCAGGTAAAGAAAGCCCCTTGTAGCTGACCAAAGCAGGAGTGCACTGAGGTGGCCTGTGCTTGCAAAGCCCAAGGATAGCTCCAATTTCAAAAAAACACTAGAAATATCTGGGCCATCCATTGGTGTCCCAGGTCCCCATTTGAGTCCCTTGATATGGAACAGTCAATGAAACAGGAGGTTAAAATGTCTCTCAATTGATAAAGCAGAGACTCTTCCTTAACCATTTCACAGGCACATTATGAAGGAACATAAAGTTACACATGTTTTCACACATGGAGTGGGTTGATCATTGCAAAGCAGCTTTGTGCATCCATGTGTTATGATAAAGACACAGGAGATGTTGCCTTATTTCGGGACTATTTTAGTCTTTTTTTTTTTAAGTGCTTCTCGCATATGTCCATTGCAGCACTATTCACAACAGCAAAGACATGGAATCAACGTAAGTGCCCATCATTGATAGACTGGATAAAGAAAATGTGGTACATATACACCATGGAATACTATGCAGCCATAAAAAGGAACAAGATCATGTCCTTTGAAGGGATGGAACTGGAGGCCATTATCTTTAGCAAGCTAGTGTAGGCACAGAAAATCAAATACCACATGTTCTCACTTATAAGTGGGAGCTAAATGATGAGAACACATGGAGGGACACAACACACACTGGGGTCTGGTGGAGGGTGGGGAGTGGGAGGAGGGAGAGGATCAGGAAGAATAGCTAATGGATGCTGGGCTTAACACCAATCACTTAACAAGTGATTGGATGATCTGTGCAGCAAACCACCATGGCACATGTTTACCTATGCGACAAACCTGCCCATCCTGCAGATGTGCCATGAACTTAAAATAAAAGTTGGAAATTTAAAAATAAATAAATAAATAAATAAATAAATACTAATGAGTCTTTTTTTTTTGTTTTAAGTGCTTCCTTGGGAACAGAAAACCCTTTGGCTTCATGACATCACTCCTTACCCACTTTGTTGTGGTTGATACAAGGAACTAGTATCTAGTAAATTATACAAGGGACTAGTAAATTATTATTTAGAAATTAATTTCAGGTAAGCAGGTGTTGGTCTTCAAAGAGATATATTAATTCCACTTGGGCCACTAAGAACTATTCAGATGGAAATTACTTTGCACAACCAACCTGGTTCATAGTAAACAAAACTAGCCATAAAAATCTCATTTCCTTTCAAACAAAATGGTCAAATAATATTTGCCTGGTGTCAGAGGCAACAAGTGGTCATATATTTTATTTAATTCCTGCCTCCATGAAAAATAAAAGCAATAAACATAAGAATCAAGTGTTTGAAAAATTACTGATTGTAGGTAATGCAGTGTCACAACACTGTTCCTCAAGGTACACAAATTTTTCTCCGTGATTTTTTAAAATAATGGCTGCAATTATTATTAATTATAAGGTACCTGACAAGGTGCTCAGCAGTATACTAAACATGTGCTTTCCCTGATGGGTTTACAATCTATAAAAATATGCTCATCTCACTTTCCCAACACTGACTTCATCAACCCCTCCCCTCTTTACCTTCACTCTTGTCCCTTTATCTTCACATATATATTTCTATTCCAAAAATAACTCTATCCAGCCTCCTACACAGGGGTCACATCTGTCTTGGTCCCCACTCTCTCAAACAGCTTTGCTTGCTCCTCTTCCCTTGACATTTCCCCTCCTTTTTCTCCTCCATTTTCCGTCTTCTACCCCCTTTCTCCTCGTGTCTCCCCTCTCTGCAGACAAAGTTCCTATGTTCCATATCTATCTTTGCTTAATTATCTAATATTTTTATACAAACACTTGAAGAAATTCCCAGAACCCTCACTAAGAAAAAAAAAAGTAAGAAAGAAAGAACTTCAAAATGAAAAGATGGCACTAGGGCAAAAGAAGGCTGGCTGACTGCTTGTTATGGAGAATAACTGCAAATAGGACTTCGAGCCTATGCAATCAAATCGTCCTCTGCTGAGCTCTGCCAGCTAGTTTGAGGGACTGGAAAGTTTCAGGAAAAGTCCTGTGTGCAGTCAGAAATATTTTAAAACTTGGAAACTCAAAGGACAGAAATGGTATCCCAGAATAACAAAGACTGACTCGACTCAGCTACATAAATAAATAAGTAAATAAGCATGGTGAGAGGGAAAATATGGTTTCATTAGAAAAGTCTTTCTGAGTAATAGAAAACTAAAGAAATACTACAAGAAATCAGCCAAAAGAAAATTAGGAGCCACAAAACTGGAGATAAAGTAGAATTAGAGGTAAAAGAAGCAAAGGCAGGATACAATCTAGAAGGTCAATTGATAAAATGTATAGCAAGCACTGAACCAACACCAATCAATACAGCTCAGTATGAACCGAATCACAGCCTAATAACCACATCACTTCCATTTTATGGTACTATCTATCACAGGAACAGCAGGAAGCAGTTGCAATTCAACTTACTGCACACTCGAGTGGCCTGGCTTCCAAGCATCGTTTTAACGAAATAGTGTGGCAGTAGTTGCTATGATAAAGGGGTGAGGCAGCAGACAGACAGCTTGCAGAACAGCCTGTGAGCTCCTGTAAATACAAATCTGGGTGATACTAAAGAAGAGAGTTAGGGTGGGAGAGAGGAACCAGAGAGAGTTGGGGACGCACAGAGGGAAGTTCTTGAAGCATGCCTGCTCAGGCTCCACATCAAATTGGAAAGTCCTATTGGATACTGTTCCAATGCATTAGGGAGAAAGCAATCAATAGCAATCAGAAGCAGGAGGTGAAGGAGAGAGAAGGTCTGGAGGGAGCCTGAATCATTGATCAAATTACAAAAAAGCAGAGGCTTGCAAGCTAGTCAAGTGTCTAAAGTCAAGATGAATGAGCAACGGCCTCCACCAGAACAACTCAGTTTTTATTCAAACAATGTTTTTCTTTTATCTGCACATCACTGTGGCAGTTTTGCTTTTCTCCTGGAAAGGAAAATATAAATTTATGAGAGAAAAAAATACATATTAGATATGTCCTCTAATAAGAACTCAGAGTGCATGCTGTACACCTGAATATAAAGGCTGCTTGCTGGCTTCGGGGCTGTCTTAACCCACATTCTCCCTTCTCCCTTAGCTTAGAAGAGACTACAGTCTCCACCTGGGGCAAGGGAGGCAAAGATAGCAACCAAACCTCCAAAAATTGAGTCATGGACATTCTGCAAATGTGTTTGATAAGAATGCATTTTGTTCATTAGAACTCAGAGTGTGGCCTTTTTTTCTTCACTTGCTATTCTCCATCATCAATTGTTTTCCATGTGCTGTATTTTGACTTCCTTTCTTAATAGAGATGTCAAGTCTGTTGTAAGCTCAAAGTAGAGATGCCCGACACAAATACTTGAGAGAATTAAATCCTTTGCAGTGTGAAAATGCAGACTCCTTAAAAATGAAAAAGGGCACACATTGAAGCCCTGGCCCAACACTTACTCTGAATACTCTAGGGAATGATGTAAGCATTTAAGTTGGTTAATCGAATGACGCCTACCTTGTAGAGTTTATATGTAATAGACTATATTTATAATAAAATGACAATTTTCAATGGTACATAATTTGATTGTAAGACCTTTTCGCCATTTATCAGACACATTAAACAATACATTAAGCAAGAAACTGCTCAGATTAAAAGGAATACAATAATCTACATGAGAACTTAGTCAAGGTATTTTATGTAACCACACATCTTGAGTATTGGTATGAAGACATTTATCTATGTAAATTTTGGTATCATCAACTTTTGGTAAAGATATTTGCAAAATATTTTCCCTTAACTTAAAAGCATTATTTCCTGAGAAATGTATATCTTTCTTAAAAAGTATTTGGCAGCCTAGGTAAGAAGATAAAATTCTTCTGTCCTCTCATTGTAATAAGTGTGGACATTAGCGGAAATAAGAGCAAAACCATATACTTTGCAAAACTCAACATTTCTGGAGCCAAAACCACACAAACTTCAAAAGCTTTCAGTTTTGCCCCAACTTTTGAATCCAGAGTTTAAATCCAAACGTCTGAAACTACATACTTTTGGCCTTCAAGATCCATAGCAAATAGATATTTTTCCTACAAACCAACTTGTAAACGTGTCATTTATCTTCTCAGATCGTTTTTTCGTGTTCAAGTTTTTTCAAATGACATCAAATAAATTATTCTCAAAATAAGACTTAAAATATACAATTAACTTACCTAACATTTCATCTAATAACAGAAGCCTGCAGTCCCATAATAATCACTCTAAAATCCTCAAGACTGTGGCCTCTTCATATGAACATATGTTTTTATTGTAATCTAGCTTGCATGCTATCAGATTTGAATAGAGTTCATTGTTATAAGTTGTACACTCTATGGAAAGAAGATACATGCATGTATAAAAAGCCATGAATTTGATATTGGAAACATGGGTAGGGGGATTGGAATGAGGGGGGAAACTAGAGAAACAAGAGTGAAAATCTCTGTGGGTGTACAGGGCATCTGGAAAAAGATGAATCAATGTTGATGCATTTTAATGCAGATTATGCCTTTAAACTCAGAAAGGTAGAACAAACAGAGGTAGGAAAAAATAGAAATGCAAAAGAAGTAAGGAAATTGAAATGAATAAATCAGTTATTTGAATAGATTAATGTGGGCCGGGCACAGTGGCTCACATCTGTAATCCCAGCAGTTTGGGAGACGGAAGCAAGAGGATTCTTTGATGCCAAGTGTTTGAGACCAGCCCTGACAAAATAGTGAGATCCTGTCTCTACAAAAATAAAATTTAAAAATTAACATGGTGGTGTGTGCCTGTAGTCCCAGCTACTCTGGAAGCTGAGGCTGCCATGAGCCATGGTCACACCAATGCACACCAGCCTGGGACACAGAGAGAGACCTTGTCTCAAAAATAATAATAATTTAATTAATTAATTAGCTAATTAATTAATGTGCCCAGATTTTTTTAAAAAGAGGAAAGGACAAATCTATGTAGTTGTGATCTCAAGAAATAGTATAAGAAAGAAGACTGGAGAAGGACAAATGTTGTTTTCTAAAGTAAATTTTAAGTTTGGTTCTGGAAAACACAGACTTGTTTCCTTGATTTTATTGCATTACAAAATTGTCATTAAAATCTAACAGGATGCATTTAGTTCCAGCAAATCAACTGCACGAGTACAAGTTAGGGGGACCTGACTTGGACAACAGTTGCCCAAAGTGGATTCCTGATTAAAAATAATACAGAAGTTTAGAAACCACCTGTTCTTTGAGCACTGGATGTGGTGGTGATATGGCCCTGGCAGCTGAAGTTCTCTGATGCTTAGTTTCCCTGTCAATAAGATGCATACACTAACATCTTCACTGCTTGCATCAGAATTATTTTTGATGCCAAATGAGACATGTGAAAATACTTTGTAAACTGTAAAGCATCAAGGAAAAGTCAGGAGATAGTATTATCAATTGAAACAAGACCTTTAAGGTTTCACTAAACTACCCAATAGGAGGGAATCAATTCCTGATGTCACTAGTGCAAAAGCCATGCTGCCCGATTGAATAGCAATGAGAAGTGATTATTTTTTCATCCTCACTGGTTAGGCAACACCTGTAGAGGACCTCAGAGGACATGATTTTTATATTCGTAAGTCTGGAAAACTGGCAATGAAGAAGCATCATGCTATGGACTAAATGATTGTGTCTTCCCAAAGTGCTTATATCAAAATCCTAACAGCCAAGGTGATGTTATTAGGAGGTGATGACTTTAGGAGGTGACTAGGTTATAGAGATGGAGCCTTCATGAATAGGATTAGTGCTTTTATAAGAGAGGCCTGGGAGCACACCTTTTTTCTATCCCACCATGTGAGGATGCACCAAGATGGTCCTTTATGAACCAGGAAGTGGGCCCTCACCAGAAACTGAATCTGCCAGTGTCTTAATCTTGGACTTCCCAGCCACCAGAACTGGGAGAAATAAATGTCTGCTGGTTATAAGCCACCCAGTCTATGGGAGTTTATTACAGCAGCCCAAATTAATTAGGACAGATCATTTGCCTCTTTCCATGCAGAAAAAAGAACCAAGACAACCAGACAGATGGTTGTCTCCCTCCCTACATGGAGGGAGATTTCAACTGGTTAGGAAACTGACTATAAACATCTCTGGTGGTTTTTCAAATATAATATATTATAGGTTTAAGTACAGAAAAGGAAAGAAAAGAGTTGGTAATCTTGGGAGGAAGCCCTTGACATCAATTCTTTGTTGAAAGGCCCATAATAGAGATGCAGAGCGTACACAATGCACAGCCCTATACAGCATAAGATCTTTCTCCCTATTTGAGTGAGGCAGTTTTTCCTGTACATGAATCTGTAGAGAGGGTCAAGAGTTACAAACATCACCCTTTAAATGGCCATCCAACAGCCTGTGAAGCCTGTGAAGCATATGTGCTTTCCCTTCCTAATCTTCAAGAAATAGTTTTCCAGACTGGGCAATTTCCACTTTTCAACAACTTTTTTCTCTGGTTCTAGGAAAATTGCCACCAACTACAAATGGCCCCTCACACTTAGGGTGTGAAATGAGGTAAATAAGTGGACATCCCTCATCTATACATAACCACCTCAGCTTGGAAAATAGAGCAACGAGCTCATCACAGCCAAGAATCCACATATATTAAAATACCAGTGATTTTTGTAGTCAAATTTCTAGGTGTTTTGAATAGAATATTTTAAAGTGAGAAAAGAAAGGTACACAGATAATGGGCCAAAACCACAACTATGATAACTGATGGCTAAAGAGAAAAGAGACCATGAGAAGAGTCTATCAGAAATAGAAAACAGTCCTTGCACAGACTTTCTCGGTTCTGTACTAATCAAAATTGAAATGGTTGGAAAGCAGTGGATCCCATCCTGAAGCTTGTGTGCAGTATGTTGACGTGTCTGGCAGCCAAAATGTGGCCAAGAAGGATGCCAAAAGGGCATTCTTCCCTGTATTTTCTTCTTGAGAGGACCTGCCAGAGTTGCTCCAACTGCAGCCTCCCTGTCTTGCCAGGGGTTGTTGAGAAATCCTTACAAACTCACATTGTGCTGTAGTGTGGAGATTGCTCGGTTCACATATGAAGTTAGTCTTTTATCTATGCACCTGACATCAAAGCACTTAAACATACAAAGCAAATACTAATAGACCTAAAGAAAGATAATAGACTCTAATCCAATAGTATTAGGAAACTATAACACCTCACTTTCGGCAATAACATATCATCCAACACAAAAACAAACAGAAACAATGGAATTGAAACTGCACCCTAGAGCAAATCAGCCTAGCTGACCTCTACAGAACATTTCACCAAACAGCTGCGGAAGACACAGCACAAGGAACATTCTTTTCAATCACACCTGGAACATTCTCCAGGCTACACCACACGGTAGGTCAAAAAACAAGTCTCAATAAATGTTCAAAAATTGAAATCATATCAATTATCTTCTGACCACAATGCAATAGAACTAGAAATCAATAACAAGAAGAACTTAGGAAACTACACAAATACATGGAAATTAAATCACATGCTCCTGAATGACCAATGGGTCAGTGAAGAAATTAAGCAACACAACTTAAAATTTCTTCAGATAAATGATAATGGAAACAACATACCAAAACTTATGAGATACAGCAAAAGCAGTGTGAATAGGGAAGTTTATAGCAATTAACGCCTACAAAAAAATAGATCTCAAATAAACAACTTAACATTACAACCCAAGGAACTAGAAAAACAAGAACAAACCAAACCCAAAACAAGTAGAAGGAAAGAAGTAATAAAGCTCAGAGCAGAAATACATGAAATAGAGACTAAAAAATACAAAAACAATCAACAGAATAAAGAGCTGATTTTGTGAAAAGATAAACAAAACTGAAAAACCTTTAAGCAGAATAAGAAAAAAAGACACAAATAAATAAAATAAGAGACAAAAAAGAAATAATTAAAACTGACATCACAGAAATACAAAAGATAATTAAAGACTATTATGAACAACTAGATGCAAACTAATTGGAAAACTTAGAAGAAATTGATAAATTCCCAGACACATACAACCTACCAAGATTGAACCACAAAGAAAGAGAAAATCCGAACAGACCAATAATGAGTATCAAAATTGAATCAGTAATAAAAAGTCTCCTATCAAAAAAAAGCCCAGATCCTGATGGCTTCATTATTGCATTCTACCAAACTTTTAAAGAAGAACTAATACCAATTCTGCTAAAATTACTCCAAAAATTTGAAGAGTAAAGTATTCTTCCAAACTCATTTGAAGAGGTTAGCATTACTATAATACCAAAACCAGACAAGGACACGACAAAAAAGAAAACTACAGGCCAATATCTCTAATGAACATAAAGTCAAAAATCCTCAACAAAATACTAACAAATCAAATCTAACAGCACATCAAAAAGATTATTCACCATGATCAAGTGGGATTCATCCCTGGGATGCAAGGATGGTTCAACATATACAAATCAATAAACATAGTACATCACATTAAAAGAATGAAGGACAAAACCATATTATCATCTCAATAGATTCAGGAAAAACATGATAAAATTCAATACCCCTTCATGACAAAAACTTTCAACAAATTAGGCATAGAAGGAACATAATAAAGGTTATATATAACAAACCCAAATCTAACATCATGCTGAATGGGGAAAAGCTGGAAGTTTTCTCTCTAAGATCTGGAAAAAGATAAAGATGCTCACTTTCACCTCTTATATTCAACATAGGGCTGGAAGTCGAAGCAACCAGGCAAGAGAAATAAAGGTATCCAAATTGGAAAAGAGGCTGTCTCTGTTTGTAGATGACATAATCTTATGTAAAGAAAACCTCAAAGACTCTGACAAAAAAACTGTTAGAACTAATAAACAAATTCAGCAAAGATATATGATACAAAATCAAAATACAAAAATCAGTAGTATTTCTATATGCCAATAGCAAATTTATCTGAAAAAGCAATCTTTTTTACAAAAACCACAAAAATATCTCGAAGTAAATTTAATCAAGGAAGCTAAAGATCTCTACAATTAAGACTAAAATGTTGATGAAAGAAATAGAACGCACACACAAAAATGGAAAAGTATCCCTTGCTTATGGATTGAAAGAATTAATGTTGTTAAAATGTCCATACTACCCAAAATGATGTACAGATTCAATTCCTATCAAAAGACCAATGACATTTTTCACAGAAATAGAAAAAAAATCCACAAATTTATATGGAATCCCAAAAGGCTCCAAATAGCCAAAGTAAATCTTGACCAAAAAGAGCAAAACTGGAAGCATCACACTACCTGACTTTGAAACATACTACAAAGCTATATAGTAACCAAAACAGCACACTACTGGCATAAAAACAGACACACAGACCAATGGAACAGAACAGAGCGCCCAGAAATAAATCTTCACATCTACAGCCAACTGATCTTTTACAAAGATGCCAAGTACACACAATGAGGAAAGAATGGCCTCCAATAAATGGTGCTGAGAAAACTGGATATTATCTGCAGAAGAATGAAACTAGGCCCTTACCTATGACAACTTACAACAAAACTCATAATAAGATTGAAAACTTAAATGTAAAAGCTGAAACTATTAGAAGAAAATACTAGGGGAAACCTCCATGACATTGGTACAGGCAATTATATTTTTTTAATAAAACCTCAAAAGTACAGGCAACAAAAGCAAATGTAGACAAGTAGGATTACATCAAATTAAAATGCTTCTGTATAGCAAGGAAACCATCAACAGAGCAAAAATAACCTACAGAATGGGCAACTATATTTGCAAACTATACATCTAATAAAGTGCTAATATCCAAAACATACAAGGAATTCAAACAGCTCAACAACAAAAATTTAACTAACTCAATTTAAAAATGGGCAAAAAACCTGAATAGACATTTCTCAAAAGAAGACATACAAATGGCCAACAGTTGTTTTATGAAAAAGTGCCCAACATTACTAATCAGGGAGGTGCAAATCAAAACCACAATGAGATATCACCTCACTCCAGTTAGAATGGCTACTATCAAAAAAATCAAAAGATAACAAGCATTGATGAGGGTGTAGATAAAACTCTACACTTATGGACTTATGGTAGAAATGTAAACTAGTACACCCATTACAGAAAACAGTATGAAGATTCCTCGAAATACTCAAAATAGAACTAACATAGGATCCAGCTATCCCATTACTGGGCACACATCCAAAGGAAATGAAATCAGTTTGTTGAAGAGATATCTGCATCTCATGTTTATTGCAGCAGCATTCGCAATAGTCAAGATACAGAATCAACATAAATGTTCATTAATAGAGAATGGATAAAGAAAATGTGGTACATACACAGTACATACACATAATGGAATACTATTCGGCCATAAAAATGAAAGAAATTCTGTTATTTGCAGCAATATGGATGAACCTCAAGGACATTACGTTAAGTGAAATAAACCAGACAGAGAAAGACAAATACTGCATGATCTCCTTTATATGTGGAATCCAATAAGTTGTTCTTATAGAAGTAGAGAGTAGAATGGTGGAGGGGAGGATGGAGGGGAGAAAGCGGGAAGGTGAGAGATTAGTCAATGGGTACAAAACTACAGTTAGATAGCAGGAATAAGTTCTGGGGGTCTATTGCACAGTAAGGTGACTAGAGTTAACGATATGTTGTATATTTCAAAATAGCTAGAAATGAGCTTTTTAAATGTTCTCATCACAAAGAACAGATAAATGGTTAAGAGGACAAATATGCTAATTACCATGATGTGATCATTACACAATTTATACATGTATTAAAATATCACATCACATTGTATGCCATAAACCTGTACAATTACTTCTTGTCAGTCATATATTTAAAAAGGAAACTAAACAATAAAAATAAAAATTCTATAAGTACCTGTAACAAATATTAAAACTATCTGTAAGTTAAATATACTCCTTCCATTACATAACTTATGTTCTATGCTGTGAGCTTTTCTTTGTACAGAATACTATTTTAAAAGCAGATTAGAATAGATAAATCCATAGAGTTTCTAGGGGTTGGGGTATGGAGAGGTAGGAACCAGGAGCAACTCTAAGAAGTATGGAGTTTCCTTTTGGGGTGATGAAAATGTTTGGAACTAGATAGAGATGAATACACTAAATGCTGCTGAATTGTTTACTTTAAAACGGTTAATTTTATGTTGTATGAATTCCACTGAATTAAAACCAAAGTTATATTAGAATGAAATTGATAATTCTGAAAAGGCAAGGCTTATGTTCATTAGAAAAATCAGCCTCCAAGTCCATAGGAAAACACGTTTTCTTTTCTATACTTCTTATATGGAAACTCTATCACAGTCATACTCAGAGACATTAAAAAAATCATCTTCGCAAACCAGAGAAGTTTTGGCCTGCAATCAGTTAGTCAACAATGATTCCTCCTCTGGGGCCTGACACTTGGCATTTAACATCTTCCTTCCTTTTGAAGCTCAGAAAACAATAGAAATACTGTCTCCGATTTTCAGACTTGTCACAGCTCTTACAGAAAGATCCCTATGAAGAGGTTTTTGTCCAATGTACCAACTGAAGTATGTCCAATTATTATTGATATTGTATATTTCCCCAGACTGACTTGTTACATGATTTATACCTACAAAACTCATTAAACAAAACCTATTTGAAATTCATCTAATCCATCTTGGGTAAGTTGACTTCCAAGCACAGACAATTTCCATAGAAAAGGATGTGTTTGGAGAGTGTGTTTGGCAACACTTGGTGTATTAGTCAGGATTCTCTGCAGAAATAAAACCTATAGGAAATAAATATATATATATATACATATACATACATTATACATATATATATATGGAAATGTATTATGGGAATTGGTTCACATGATTATGGAGGCCAAGAAGTCCCACCATATGTCGTTTGTGAGCTAGAACACCAGGAAAGTCCACACTGTAATTCAGAGTCCAAAGGCCTAACAACAAGGCAAGCCAATATTGTAACTCCCAGTTCAAGGCCAAAAGCCTGATAATCCTGGAGTCTGAAAGCCCAAGAACCAGAAGCTTTGATGTCTGACGGCAAGAGAAAATGGATGTCCTGGCTTACGAAGAGAGAGAATTCGCCATTCTGTTGCTTTTTTGCTCTATTTGGACAGTCAATGGATTGATTGATGCCCACTCACATTGGTGAGGGCAGATCTATTTAACTCAGTCCACTGATGCAAATGAAAATCTCTTCCAGTAACACTCTCACAATCACACTCAGAAATAATGTCTTATCAGCTATCTGGGCATCCCTCAACCTAGTCAAGTTGATACATAAATTTAATCATCATAGTATAATGTAAACAAAGATTCATTACAAGGAATTGGCTCATGCAATTATAGAAGCTGAGAAGTCTCAAGATCTGTAGTGGGCAGATGGGAGACTCAGGAGAGCCAACTGTGTCATTCCAGTCAAAAAGTCTACAGACTTGAGACCCAAGAAGAGTCAAAACAGTAGTTCCAGTCTGAAGGCAGAAAAAGATCAATGTTCCAGTTCAAAGTAATTGGGCATCAGTTACTTTGATGCCCAATTTGAGATTCTTCCTCAGCCTTTTCATTCTATTCAGATCTTCAACTGACTTAGGGAGGGCAATCTTCTTTATTCAGTCTACTGATTCAAATGTTAATCTCATCCAGAAATAGCCTCACAGACACACCCAAAATATGCTTGACCAAACGTCTGGGTATCCTGTGGGCCAGGCAAGTGGACACACAAAATTTATCATCACACCTCTGGTCACAGAACTTTGTACTGAATGTTGCATGCTCCATAGTTCTCAACTCAGGGTCTTACCAAAAAAAAAAAAAGTAGAAACTCAAATACTTGTTGAATGTAGATTTTTTTCTCCAAATATGTTTATTCTGAAATGTATTCAATAGAAATATCCAAGTGGTTTCCAAGCCAAATGAACCATTTAAAATAAATTACATTAACTTTGTTAGCCTTGAGTGAAAGGTATAATTGCTTCCAAAAATGAAAAGAAAGAGCAGGGGGAGGTTTCCTGACAGCATAGGTCACCTTCTTGAAAACTTTTCAGACATAGAAATGCCCAGAGATGGACATATGAAGAATTGAATGAGAAGTGACCCTAGAGTGAACTAAAATAATGAGGGCTAAGAATTTTTGTTGCAAGTGTCTTAATGTAATCCATATAATAAGGAGAAAAATATTCTATACCAACAGAGGAAAGTTACACAAGATCATTTTCTGATTTGAGTAGCATAGATGTTTAAGGCATAGGCTTTGGAGTAAAACAATCTGGCTAAGTAAAACAACTTTATTGTGCCTGGTGATTTCTAGGCAAGTTTGAACCTTTCTTTCAGCTTCTTTAGTTGTAAAATGGGGAAAGTAGTATTTGCCTCATATGGAAGCTGTGCCGAATAATTCAGATAGTATTCAACCTGGTAAACACTCAATACGTGTCTGCTATCTTTTAACTATGTAGATATTTTCTAAATGTACATAGCCAAATAATTCTCTTCAAGACTGAAGAGTTCAGCATCTCAGATGGGCCATGAATGTCAGGCAGAAGCCACACACACAACTTCACTGCAAGATCAGATTAAGACCCCAATTTATCTACTCAAGTTTAGAAATGTATTGGGGTAACATGGCCAAAGGGGGAAAAGGCAGACACAGCCCATTTCCCTGGACTCCAGAGTCCTTAGTGGGGAATGACTCACGTCAATTCACTGCCTGCTCAGGGAAGGGTTTTGCCAGATTGTGTAAGCCTTTTCCTGCTTTGGACAAAGGAAGAAAACATACATTGACATATACAAACCATCTCTAGGTTATTAATGGAAATAATGAATATACATCTTACTTCTGATCCTCAAGCCCAACTGAGCACCAGTCAGTGGGAGAGTAGAGTCCATCCCCAGGAGTCACTGAATTGCTTCTCAGCCTCTCATTCATCACCATCCTCGGAGGCCAACTTGCCCTAGGTCCATAGCCTACTCCACTTAATGCTCTTCTATCTTAGTGTTCCAATACGAAGTGTGGTCAAAGATATATATCCATAGTCTACAGTGACCGTCTTCAATGTAAACTTAGTGTTTCTTATGCTCTTAAGACCTTACATTTTAACTTTCATGAAGCAAGCTTCCCACTCTCTGTTTGGCTATATCAGACACCTGGGCCCGGCACAAAGGGGGTAACATCCAGGCAGAGGGTTTAAGAGGCATTGAGAACAGGCTGCTACCCTTCTCCCTTAATATTATCTCCTCCACTCACCTGTATTAATGCCTGAAAGACCCCAGCAGAGGCAATTACTTAGAGAAAGTCAAGATTTTTAATTGTTGTTGTCCAAATTCAGATATTACAGAGACAGAGAGAGATGCTCAAGCCTTGCAAGTCACTTTGCATATCACAATTTGAGAGAAAATGGAGAGTGAGCTTTAAGGGTGGAAGAATGGTGAGGAGTGAAAGAGAGAACAAGCAGCAGGCACCTGAGAGGTAAGGCCAGGTCTCAGGAGCACCAAGAGAGACTGAATATCTGTCAAAGCAGTGACAAAAAAGAAACAAAAAAAGATAAATCTGAAACTGGAGTGAGGAGGTCATCAAAAAAAGGACCTAGTATGCTAATGGGCAGGCAGCCTTCCCATTGTTCTTTCCTCACTTAGCAGAGGAGTCAGAACACACCCCATGGCTCATGAGAGTACACTGCCTTTGTAAAAGCCTTAACTACAAAAATTAAGAGAGTGAAATAATACTCTATAAGGCTAGCTGATTAACAATGAAAGATTTACAACATCGCAGGATGGGTGACCATGGCTTTTAATTGCTCCTTACTTTTTGAATAGTTCTTCAACTCTAACCCTATGCTGAGCATTGGATCACATATGGCCCCTCATATACACAGCTTTCCTCCACAGTTCTACTTTCTTGGCTATGCCTCTCTATGTGCAACTTGAATAGACTGAGTGATAACACACCCTAAACCCAAATGTTCCTGTGGGCCTGTGCCAATCTGAGAAACCATCATCCTTCTATGGGTTGAAGATAATGCTATATTCTTCTCCACTACTACTACTCCTCCTACTACACACACACACACACACACACACGCACACTTTCAGTAATGAAATCAAGCTCAAGATCGGAGTTTCTTGCATACTAATAAATTTTGATTCAGGTAGCCCCACATTAAACAGAACATTGTGAGATTTTAAGAGAAAAAAACTTTCAGCAATCTGAGTGATTTAGAGCAGCACATCTCAAACACTAATGTGAGCACAAATCACCTAGGGATCTTGTTAAAATTCCACTTCTGATTCAGTAGTTCTGCACTTCTAACACACTGCCAGGTGATGCTGATGCTGGTGGTCTATAATCACACTTTGAGTAGCAAAGATTTGGAGAACAAACATGTGAAGGTAGACGGTGTCCATTTCCAAGTGGAGTCACAGTAATATTAGTACTGCTTCAAATAAACAGAATTAGAAGCTTCCTTAGCAACCATAAGCATGCACACATTCTTAAGATCATTCAAAAAGTTACCAGTAGAGGAAGAAACCTTCCTTTAACTTTTAATTCTAAAATTAATTTAATTTATGGTACTGTAAATACTGTAATGGCGAAAGCTGCAATTACTTTTGCACCAACCTAATAGTAAAATCCAAAATCTAAATTTGTTCATGGGAAATCCATCAACAGCTTCCTGAAAGTTTCAACACTTGTCATGGTTCAACTTGTCAATGGTAAGGATTTTACTTACCAAAACAAACTTACACTTCCTATTAAAGTTCTCTTTCCGTCAAGATCTTCGGTGGAAAGTTATGGTGATCAGGATACAGAGAAGACGGGATTTCTTACACAGACTAGATTAGAAGAAGAGAATTGAAAAGGCGCTATCTAATTTCACTCTCTAGTGTAATGAGGAAACTTATCTCATTTTGATTGCTCAGGGTCCCCTGGCTAGCCACTTAGCCAGAAATCTGGAACTGAAATCACAAACTCTAAGTTCCCAATTCACTGCTTTGTCTGTCTTCTACAGTATTAAGCAAGACTTTCCATTTACAACCTTTAGTTTTCAATGAGTATTCTCCAATTATAAAACTTGACAGAAAAATGAAATACATGGGTTCTAATAGAGATTTGGCATCTCTAATGGCTTACCAGAAAAGGGCAGACCTGGTGACCTCTTCTAGGAACATGCAAGGTCAGTCATTTCTACCGATACCTAAGGTCACAGAACCAGGAGCAAAAACTAGCTGTTTTGGAAAACTATTATCAGTTATGGGTAACTGGGGTTTATTATAAGTATTCCAAAGAACTAAGTCAAGATGTCCTTATTGACAAAGCCAGGCTCTAAGGAGACTAACTGAAGACAGGGTTATTTCAAAAGCAAAGACCATGTCATCCAACAGGAAAAAAACACCGCTAAGGATGCTTACTCCTGCATAGCAACAATTGGCTTGTATGTATGTTACAAAGAACAGAAAATGTGGTTGTGTCTTTTTAAGATCCGGTAGGAAACTACATGAGGCCTGGTCCTGTGGGAAAATGTGCTACAAATTGACACTCACTTGATGCTGAACTTACTGTATTTGAACTTTAAAACAAATCTCCTAATTATTTTGATCTTCTGTACTATAATCAAACATTCTGGCACATATTCTTTTCGAATCCCTGAAATGTCTGCTTCAGGTATCTTGTTGAATACTTATTATAGAAAAGTCTAGTTCTAGATGGCAAGAGCAGATATAAAGATTAAAAGCCCAGCCTTTACCTTTACACAGCTCGCAGTTTACTCGAGGAGATAGACATGTATACAAACAGCACCTGAAGGGAGTGGGGAAGTTGACCTTGGCTTGTTGTGAAATTAGATAGCCTTAAAATTCCAAAACGGAATCCTATGTAGCCACGTGGTAAGCAGCACAGACTCTAACCCTAGACTCCCTAAATTCAAATCCTGGCTCCCCCTGCCCTTATTATCTATAGGACCTGGGGCAAGTTACTTGATTTCTTTGTGCCTCAGTTTCCCCATTTATAAAAATCACATAAGAATAGTACCTTCTCTTAGAGTTGGTGCGAGGATTTAATGAGTTAATACATGTAAAGATTTTAGAATAGTGTCTGGAACAGATAAGTGCTACGCAAGTGTAAGCTTCTTTAATTACAATTCTGCAGAGAGATCTGTTTGACACCCAATGACTTCATATATATTACAATCTTCCCAGAACCCATAGGGTAAGACAGCAAACCAGGAGAACTATGATCACGTAGTTAACATATGCCTGCTACCTGCCATGGTGTTGGGAGTAGTGAAATAGTTCATCTCCGAATGTCACAAAAGCCCAAGAAAAGTTTGCTTTGTGTGGTTAACATTTTCTCATTCAGTCACGTGTACCATACCAACTGGCAGTATACTTACTCATTGTGTTTCCAACTGCTGAAAAGAGCCTCAGCCAGTGGGCTTAACCTGTTACCCGAAACCTTGGCAAGGACGTTATGCTCAGAGCAGAATTGATTTACAGTAGGGGAAAAAATGGAAGGGAGAAATATTAAAATAAAGTACAATCATGTTTCTATTTTAAAATGGTTACTGCCAGCAGTAGTGCAAAAAAAATGCTGGCCTGCAACCAGAAAGCTGCACCTGCACAGATTCCAGCTGTAGGACGCTGGAACCCTCACTGTGATTGCTCAATAACTCTCCTATTTAGAACCACTGGCAAAAATTTGGCAAAGCTGACACACACACACACACACACACACACACACACACACAACTTGCTTTGCACTTGCATCCTTAAGACCACTAACTCATTCTCTTCAGAATGGTCAAGGCAGTATTTTTCATTTATAACTACTTTTAGAAATATTTTTATTTGGTTCTCTGACTTGAAATTACATGCAGGTTTATATCCAGCCTATTGAGCTCCTCCTGAATCCAGTGTCATCTGTATTATGAATGTGACTTTATTTCTTCCATTTAACATCTGTACATCTCTAGAAAAGCTTGTCTACTTTTAGGAATAGGCACTAAAAAGGCAAGGTTTGAGATTCATTCATGGAATAATGTAGTTCCCTTTTCTGAGGAATTCCTAATGCAAAATGTGGCAATTATAATAATGCCATAACATTTAGTAAACTCTTTGCAAATAGAAAAGCTCATTTTGGCATCTGGAATGGCAGTACTAGAGCAGGAAGACTAGAGGTTAAGCATTGGCCCAGTCACTTAGCAACTGCTTGCCTGTTTGACCATAGACAAGACACTCTCTATACCTCAGGTTACACTTCTGCACAATAGGAATATATTCCCTACCCTATCTAGCTCATAGAATTGCTGTGGGAAAAAAAAAATCTAATGAAATATACATGGAGGGGGTTGTAAATTACACAGCACTTCACATATGCCATCCAAGTTGTTTAACTAAAATAGGATCTTATTTTAAACCCCATGAAAGCAATTCCAAAAAGTGGCAATGTGTGGGTCTCCATTTTCCTTCCTTATAGGGACTTACCTTGGTCACTTCTAAAATCAAGTATTTTCTGTTCCCAAAAAACTTTCTCATAATATTATATAGCATGACTTTGAAACACAAAAGACTGATGAAACATTAAATTTTGTTCCTACAAACAAACCTTTTCTTTGGTATCCTTTAGATATCAGTCACTTAAAGGTCAATGACAGGTGGAGGAGGTCTCTAAGACTTTCTGTGAATAAGACCAGAGGAGGCCAGGTGCGGTGGCTTAGGCCTGTAATCCCACACTTTGAGAGGCCAAGGCTGGTGGATCACTTGAGCTCAGGAGTTCCAGACCAGCCTGGGCAATATAGCAAGACTCCATCTCTACAA